>NC_000015.10:92804914-92956429 GCF_000001405.40 Homo sapiens
AACAGACCAAGACTCTGTCTCAAAAAAAAAAAAAAAAGAACAAATGTGTAAAATAGTCACAGATCTTTACAATCCCATCCAGCGATGAGGTTCTAGGTACAAAACAAACATTAACATCTTTCTCCTCTGGAATCGCTTGAACCAAGGAGACAGAGGTTGCAGTGAGCCAAGATCGTGCCACTGCACTCCAGCCTGGGAATCAGAGTAAGACTCCGCCTCAGGAAAAAAAGAAAAAGAAATCTTTTTCCTCTGAACTCTCATCAAACTTCTATTTCTACATCTCTTTTGATTTTTTTTATTTATCTAACAATGACTGTGCCAAGCAATATTCCAAATAAGGTATATACCGTGACACAATCCAACCTCACAACAAGCCTACAGGCAAGTACTTTATGTATTTATTTATTTGTTTACTTATATATTTGTTGACACTGGGTCTCACTCTGTTGCCGAGGCTGGAGTGCAATGGCACCATCTGGGCTCACTGAAGCCTCGACCTCCTGGGCTCAAGCGATCCTCCCACCTCAGCACCCCCAGAGTAGCTGGGATTACAGGCACACGCTACCACACCCAGCTAATTTTTGTAATTTTAGTAGAGAGGGCATTTCACCTTGTTGCCCAGGCTGGTCTCGAACTCCTGGACTCAGGCGATCCACTGCTTCAGCCTCCCAAAGTGCTGGGATTACAGGAGTGAGCCACCAAGCCCAGCCTGGAACAAGCACTTTTTACAAATCTGTTTTACAAAGGAGCAAACTGAAGCGCTGAGAGGTTAAGTTACATGTCCAAAGTCACAAAGCCCTGAATTGCCTTTGCAATGCCCCTTAAAAAGTGGCAGAATAAATGCCCAACCCAAGAAGCTCTTCACATATTTGATTTAGATTCCACATAAAAATAAAAGCACTATGTATACATATTTACATATGGCATATTTATGATCTACTTTATAGTTATTTTGTAGCTGTTAGTAATGAAAATAAGAACAATTTTATACATCATGTGCTATGGAGAGACCACTAGACATGGTCATTGTTCAAAGGTCTAAACAGGAACTACATTTCTAAGAAATAGTTTATTTATTTTTTTTAGAGATGAGGTCTTACTATGTTGCCCAGGCTGGTCTTGACTCCTGAGCTCAAGCGATCCTCCTGCCTTGGCCTCCCAAAGTGTGGGGATTACAAGCATGAGCCATGGTGCCTGGCCCTAAGAAATAATTTAATATTTCATTATTAATAACAACACCTGAAATTTATAGAGCTTTTTTGTTTTGAGGCAGAGTCTCTGTTGCCCAGGCTGCAGTGCAGTCGCACTATCTCAGCTCACTGCAACCTCTGCCTCCTGGGTTTAAGCGATTCTCCTGCCTCAGCCTCCCAAGTAGCTGAGACTACAGGCACGTGCCACCACGCCCAGCTAATTTTTGTAGTTTTAGTAAAGATGGGGTTTCACCATATTGGCCAAGCTGGTCTTGAACTCCTGACCTCAAGTGATCTACCGGCCTCGGCCTCCCAAACTGCTGGGATTACAGGCGTGACCAACCGCGCCCGGCAGAGCATTTTATGTTTAAAACAGTTTTTCATGTGTAATCATGAGAGGATATGGAATCCGGAGCCAGTCAGACCTCAATTCAAATTCTGGTTTTAGTTCTAATACTGTTCTTAGTGTGTATGTATGTAGGTAGGCAGGTAGGTAGATCTTAGTGTGTATGTATGTAAGTAGGTAGGTAGATAGATAGATAGATAGATAGATAATTTTTATTTTTTTTGAGACGGAGTCTCCCTCTGTTGCCCAGGCTGCAGTGCAGTGGCGCAATCTCGGCTCACTGCAACCTCTGCCTCCCGTTCAAGTGGTTCTCCTGCCTCAGCCTCCCGAGTAGCTGGGACTACAAGCATGCGCCACCATGCCTGGCTAATTTTCTTTTTTTTTTTTTTTTTTTTTTTTTTTTTGGTATTTTTAGTAGAGAGGCGGTTTCACCACGTTAGCCAGGCTGGTCTGAAACTCCTGACCTCTGGCAATCCGCCCGCCTCAGCCTTCCGAAGTGCTGGGAGCCACGGTGCCCGGCCCTCACAGGCTTGAGCCACCGCACCCGGCCTTTAGAGTATATTTTAAAAATAGAGATAGGGGTCTACGTTGCCCACGCTGGTCTCAAACTCCTGAAATCAAGCGATCCTCCCACCTCGGCCTCTCAAAGCGCTGGAATTACAGGCTTGAGCCACTACGCCTAGCCCAGCATACTTTTCAACTGTTCAGTTTTACCTGGAACAAGTAATAGGTTCACATGGTCCAAATTCATAAGTTACTAAATTTTTTTTTTTTATTGAGAGGGAGTCTCGCTCTGTTGCCCAGGCTAGAGTGCAGTGGCGCCATCTCGGCTCACTGCAACCTCCACCTCCCGGGTTCAAGAGATTCTCCTGCCTCAGCCTCCCGAGCTGCTGGGACTACAGGCGCGTGCCACCACGCCCAGCTAATTTTTGTATTTTTAGTAGAGACGGGGTTTCACCATGTTGGCCAGGATGATCTCAATTTCTTTTTTTTTTTATTCAGACGGAGTCTCGCTCTGTTGCCCAGGCTGGAGTGCAGTTGCGCGATCTCGGCTCACTGCAGTCTCCGCCTCCCAGGTTCACGCCATTCTCCTGCCTCAGCCTCCAGGACTACAAGCACCCGCCACCACTCCCGGCTAATTTTTTGTATTTTTAGTAAAGACAGGGTTTCGCCGTGTTAGCCAGGATGGTCTCGATCTCCTGACCTCGTAATCCGCCCGCCTCGGCCTCCCAAAGTGCTGGGATTACAGGCGTGAGCCACCGCGCGCGGCCTCGATCTCTTGATCTTGTGATCCGCCCGCTTCGGCCTCCCAAAGTGCTGGCATTACAAACGTGAGCCACCGCGCCCGGCCACAAGTTACTAAATCTTACCAAAAAAAAAAAAAATCCCAACTCAGTCACCCTAGCAACCTACATCCTTCTCTCCCCGGAGGTAAAACTATGTTAACACCTGAATATTCTTCCAGAGATATTTTATGCATACATGGTACAAGCAAAAGGCACATACAATCGTATCATTTTACATAAATATTGGCACTCTAAATTCATGGAAAGTTTGAGCTACAGTTTCCTCTTCTATAAAAGAGTGGTAGGGAGGATTACATCACAGAATTATGCAAAATGCCATGGAATCAGCACTCAATAAAGACAAGTCTCCCTTTCCTTACCCTGAGAAGGGCTGTGAGGGAAAGGGGTCTTCAGTGTGCCTCGGAATCACCTTGCTGCCTAGTAATCACAGCTTCTCGGGCCCCACCCGCCACCGTCCTCAGAATTTCCCATTTAGAAGGTCCGGGATAGACTCCTAACACTGGCATTTCCAACGAGCTCCCCGACATTGGAGATGCTGCCTGGCTGGAGGACTATCTGAGAACCTCAATGTCTAGTGGAAACTTACGTGCCCTCGATTCCAACCAGGCTCTACCCCATGAACAAATTACTCTTGCTGAGCGCCAGTGTGAGTAGAAAGAGCTTCCATATCAAAGGCTGCTAGGAGGATTACCTAAGATAACGCAGGCCTTGCTCAAGACAAACGTTCAGGAAATCAAAATCGGTTTGGAGATGAAATGGGAAAGACAAGAGCAGCTCCAAGGAGAGAAGAACGTCCAGAAAACCAAGAAATAGGACTGGTAAAGGGTGCTGACCAGGTCCCTGGAGCTGCACCCCGCCCCGTGCGCCTCCCCAGCCCCCCGGCCGCACCGTGCCCACCCCGCGCTCGTCGTCCCCCTCGCCCCCAGCGCCACCCTGCACTGCGGACCCGGGACCGCCTGGGAAACGCCCTGGTCTGACATGGCTTGGGGCTCTGGGCAGAAGCCAGGTCTGAAAACCAAGGTTGGGGCCTCATGTGTTAGTCTGGAAGCACCAAGCACCGCATACCAAAATACCTCGAGGCAACCGTATGGCTTTTTTTTTTTTAATTAAGTTGTTCCCGGGCGGTGGCTCACGCCCGTAATCCCAGCATGTTGGGAGGCTGAGGCGGGCGCGTCCCTTGAGCACGGAAGCTGAGGCTGCAGAAGGCTGTGGTCGCGCCACTGCACTCCGGCCTGGGGGACAGAGTGAGCCCCTGTCTCAAAAATATAAAACAAAATAAAAAATTAATAATTAAATTAAATGTGTGTAAACATGTAGGTGACCTTCTAGCCCTCGGTGAACCAGACTAAAAAACGCTCCCGCACTAGGCGTGGTGCCCGGAGCGGCCCCGCCCTCGGAGCACGCTTGTGCGCCAAGGCTGGTGGCGGAACGCGGACGTGCTGCAGGCAGGGAATGAAATGGCGGAGGAAGGCGGGGCAGGGCGCGGCCGGAGCTCCGCGGCCAGCCGCCAGGGGGCAGCCGCGCGTCTGCGTCCCGCGGGCGGCTAGAACCAGTCCTGCCGGAAGTTGGGGCGGTGCCTTCGCTTCCGCGGAGCCGTGCCACGTGGCCGGCCCGGAGGGACAGGGGAAAACAACAAGATGGCGGCAGCCGGGGGCGGGGTCAGCCCGGCGTCCCTGAGGCTGCGAGCCCCTTAAAGGGCCGCGTTCGAGGAGCCGGGCGAGATGAACTGAGTGGTTTTACCCAGCCGTGGGGGCTGTTCGACTGAACATGGGCCTGGGCGGGGACAACCGCGCCAAGCGGACGCGCCCTCCGCCTGGTCGGAGTTCATCGACCCAGGCCCTGCGGGGAATCCCGCGGCGCAGTTCCGCAAAGCTGCCAGCGTGCTTACCAGTCGGGGCCCGTTTCTTTTGTCTCTGCGTTTGCTGCTCCGTGCAAACAAGGAGGACAGAAAACTCTTTATCGTGGCGTTTTCTTCCTGAGCGAGAGATTAGGTTGCTGCAAATCCAACGAGGCGAGTCCTCTTGGATCGAATTAATGCATTGGCTCTTCCCTTCGCAACAGCTTTGATGACCGTTTCCCGCCTTTGTGCAAAGCGTTAGAACAAACCCTACCTTCCTCCAAACGAAGGAGAAAAATCTCAATGATCTGGGTTTTAAAGTACCTTCCCCGCCCTGTCCAAATGCTGGAATTTTTTTTTTTTTTTTTTTTGACGGTAGATGGGAGCTGCCCTAGGACCTTGAATGTGTGCTAAAATCTGAAATTCTGTTAATTTATATCAGCCACCTTGGACACCTTTTCAGGAAATAAACATTTAGACATCGGTCGCTGTGTATTACAAAATGCAAGAAATAAAGCACAATCGTCAAGTGCTGAAGGCCCACAGCTTCCCCTTCGTGTCCACGGATCTAGTGCTGAAAGACAAACCCTTTGACTCCGCCGGGGCAGTTGGTCCAGGGTCCATTTTCATTTCTCACCGTTTTTGTTTTACATGAGTTTGAGATGCAAAAGAGCCGGTGTGGGTAAAAATAGTTAACCCCAGCTACTCAGAGTGTGATGGTATATTTAGAATAAAGGAGACATTTGTCCTTGGTTTTATTTATAAATGTGTCATCTTACATTTGGGATTCGGATTCTCTCATGCTTGCTAAGAAATTTGTGAGGCCACTGGCATGTTTCTGAAATGTGACCTTTTTCTTGCTTATTTAAAACAAAATAGTAATACTTGCCTCCCAAAGGTTTGGGAGGTTAATGTAATCAAAAAAAAAAAAAAAAGCCTGAATGTAATAAGGCTTCCAATGGAGGGCACACGACAGTGACAGCTGGGGAAAAGACATTATTTTCTTCATGAAGAGATCCCTTATGGTTTCTTCGGGCTGGTAGGGATTTTTAACACCTGTGCTGTGATCAAAATTGTATTACTATTAATGGTATAATGGTGTAATGTGAAGGGGGGCGGCGGAGGGCGTGGTCAAGCCTTCTATTATAAGGCTTAAGGGTGGATTTTTGACCCAATCAGAGGTTTAAGAGAATTTTCCTTTAGCCACTCCTTTGTGTATCCATGCCCTCTGAGGCTTCACTTCAGACTCGTCCATCGTTTGGCAAAGAAGCGGTGGAAAGAGTTTCTAAAGAATCCTTTAATCTAGAAAGGTCAGGAACCCTCCCTCCCCTCAGTCTGAGAAAAGAATGCAACTTTCCTTCATAGCATTTCCTCCAAAGGACCCTGCCCCATTTGTGTCCTTATAGTTTGCAGTGACTACCTCCTTTTTTGTCTCATTTTGTATATATGGTTCAGATAAAATATCGGACAACTTTTTCTGCAAATGCCATTGGCATACCGGAGCACAAGCTTCAGAGTACAGCCTCAGGTCTTAAGTTGTCTCCAGACTTTCATTAACATAGGCTTCCTGTTACAAAAGAGAAAATGTATTTTAAATTTTAAAATACCTTATTCTAAGAACTTCAGTTAAAAAAAAAAGAAAAAATTTAAAAGAACCCATACTCTAATAATGCAGTCACTCGTTCTTAGACTAGACTTAAGTTTGTTTTGGGGGGATTATACTGTGTGTACAATTTGTTATCTTGTTTACTTAACGTTTGGAAATTACTGTTATATTTCATATTACTGAAGCAAATTGTGCTCAACAGAAAACATGAAAAATACAAAGAAAATCACCCAAAATGTGACTACCAAGAAATAACCACTATTAAGCTAATCATCTGTACAACTGTATTTGTCTTAAAATAATACTAGACATAGTTTTATAACCTACATTTTGTATTTACGTATAATGTACTTTTTTATATCAGTAAGAATTTTCATGAGTTTTACAGTCTGCACAGTATTCCAGCAGATGAGTATGCCGTAGTTAACCATTAACAGTTCTCTTATTGGACACCAGATTTGTTAAATAGGTTTTGGGTTTTGTTTTGTTTTGTTTGAGACAAGGTGTTGCCCAGGTGAGATCATAGTGCGCTACAGCCTAAAACCCCTGGGCTGAAGCAATCCTCCAGCCTGAGCTTCCCAAGTAGCTGGGACTACAGGCACAATATGCTGTATGCAGCTCGTTTTTTGCTTCTGTAAATAATGCTGGCATGAACATTTTAATAGAAAAAGTTTTGTACAGATTTCTGTAAAATAAGATTTACAATGAATCTTTTAAGGTTTTTTGATACATATTTTAACTCTCCAAACCGAATTGTTAATTGTATTGCCTCCCCAACCTAGCTCATGTCCTAGCTCAACTTTAATTGCCCTCACTCTTCTAAATTGATATTGGTTTTTTAATGAAAATTGTAAATTGTATATTCTCTATGTATTTTTTTATATGCATGTGTGTCCAATAAATACCGGACATGGACATTAACTTCAAGTTAAATATTTAAAAGGACTCCTTCACCGTCAACCTGCTTAATACACGGAAACCTGTTTTTCTTTTTAACTAGTTCATTTCTATGTGGAGATGTGAGGCAAAGGAAACTAATTGCTAAAATTTTCTTTCTGATGTGCAGCAAGGATATAAACTTTGCCCTAAAATTATTTAAGTGTAAATGAACGTTTGGTTTTGTTGTTTGTTTGGTTGTTTGTTTTTGAGATGGAGTTTCACTCTTGTTGCCCAGGCTGGAGTACAATGGCGCTGTCTCGGCTTATTGCCACCTCCACCCCTCTGGGTTCAAGCGATTCTCCTGCCTCGGCACCCGGAGTACCTGGATTACAGGCGCGTGCCAACATGTCTGGCTTGTATTTTTAGTAGAGACATGGTTTTTCCACGTTGGCCAGGCTGCTCCCGAACTCCTGACCTCAGGTGATCCACCTGCCTCAGCTTGCCAAAGTGCTATGATTACAGGTTTGAGCCACAGTGCCCGGCCTTTTTTGTTTGTTTGTTTGTTTGTTTTCTGACATGGCGTCTCAATCTTATTGCCCAGGCTGGAGTGCAATGGCTCTGTCTCGGCTCACTGCAACCTCTGCCTCCAGGGTTCAAGTGATTCTCCTGCCTCAGCCTCCCGAGTAGCTGGAATTACAGATGTGTGCCACCATACCCGGCTAATTTTCGTAATTTTAGTGGAGACGGGGTTTCACCATGTTGGTCAGGCTGATCTCGAACTCCTGATCTCATGATCCACCCGCCTCAGCCTCCCGAAGTGCTGGGATTACAGGCGTGAGCCACCGCGCCCGGCCCACGTCAGGCTAATTTTTTTGTATTTTTTGGTAGCAACGGGGTTTCACCATGTTGGTCAGGCTGGTCTCAAACTCCCGACTGATCTCAAGGGATCTGCACACCTCAGCCTCCCAAAGTGCTGGGATTACAAGCGCGAGCCACCACGCCTGGCCACCTCCTATATTTTTAACCCTAGTTTCTCTTTAAATGAAATCCTTCTACTTACTATACTTGCAATAAAATACATTCCAGTAGAATGAAGAAAACTTTGTTAATATTAAAAGGATATGGGGCTGTAAGAACTATCATAGGCCAGGCACAGTGGCTCACGCCTGTAATCCTAGCACTTTAGGAGGCCGGGCAGGGTAGATCACTGGAGGTCAGGAGTTCGAGACCAGCCTGGCCAAGATGGCAAAACCCCATCTCTACTGAAAATACAAAAATTAGCTGGGCGTGGTGGCGGGCACCTGTAATCCCAGCTACTCGGGAGGCTGAGGCAGGAGAATCGCTTGAACCCTGGAGGCGGAGGTTGCAGTAAGCTGAGATCGTGCCATTGTACTCCAGTGTGGGCAACAAGAGTGAAACTCCATCTCAAAAAAAATAAAAACTACCATAGATGGCAGTCATTATTCTGTAATAGTCTTCCTTTTAGTGACAGTACCCTATGGCAGAGGTTGATCTCTTCGACTACGGTATTTGAGGTCAATTCAAAGTCTCCAAGTAAACCTTTGCAAAGTTACTAAGTAGTCTGATTCTACAGAACCACAATAAACGTGAGAATTTTTTTTTTACCTAACCAGCACTGTGCATCTGAGATTAAAATCTGTTACCAGAGATTCATGGTGATCCTTTCAAAGCAGCTCTAGATATTTTTGTTTGTTTTATCATTCGTATTTCATAGCTGATACCTAAAGCAGATAATGATGAATATTTTACATTTCAATTGTTTTAAGGAACACTTGACTTTGAACAGCTTGTGGAAGCTATAGCTCTTAGAAGCCTGTCTCCTTAAAGCTGAAATTTCATATCTGCTACTGATATGACTGAGGAAGAAGAGAGGGAGGAGAAGAAGAAAAAAAGTTCTTTTTAATCTCAAGGGCCTTTGAAAATATCCTTTTACTGAGGTACAGTTACTGCCTAGCAATGAAAGGAAAACGTCTTGTAAATTTGCCTCTTTCCTCAGTCCTTCCAGAAATGAAAGAGGCAATCTATAGGTTGTCTCATATCCTAGACTGTAGACCCCAGAGTCTTTGCTGCTAAATTGGCAAGTTCAATAGTCTTTTTTTTTTTTGAGACGGAGTCTTGTTCTGTTGCCCAGGCTAGAGGGCAGTGGCACTATCACGGCTCACTGCAACCTCAGCCTCCCAGATTCAAGCGATTCTCCTGTCTCAGCCTCCCAAGTAGCTGGGATTACAGGTGCCCACCACCGCGCCCGGATAATTTTTGTATTTTTAGTAGAGCTAGGGTTTCACCATCTTGGCCAGGCTGGTCTCAAACTCCTGACCTCGTGATCCACCCGCCTTGGCCTCCCAAAGTGCTGGGATTACAGGTGTGAGCCACCACGCATGGTCTTCAATAGTCTGTTATTCCAAAATTATACTGTACTTGCCACAGCCATTCCTTTGCTCTCTCCAAATCATTTAGAGAACACAGAATAGTAAAGAGGAATAAAACAAAGGCATGAATAATGGGAAAAAATTAGAAGCGAGTACATGATCATCTTAAAAACAATCCCAGAGAATGCAATGCTCTTTCCTTGGGCGATCAGTTCTGACCACACCCTTTTTTTTTTTTGAGACGGAGTCTCCCTCTTTCGCCCAGGCTGGAGTGTACAATCTCAGATCACTACAGCCTCCACTTCCCAGGGTTCAAGCAATTCTCCTGCCTCAGCCTCCATAGTAACTAGGACTACAGGTGCGTGCCACCACGCCTGGCTAATTTTTCTATTTTTTGGTAGAGACAGGGTTTCACCATGTTGGTCAGGCTGGTCTCAAACTCCTGACCTCAAGTGATCTGCCCACCTCGGCCTCCCAAAGTGCTGGGATTACAGGTGTGAGCCACCAACCCTGGCCTCCCCCTATATTTTTAACCCTGTTTTCTCATGGGCACATTCCAACAGGGTTAGGGCTCTAGGCCTATGTATCACTACTAGTCTCCCCCAAATTTCTCTTCCTCCCCCATATCAAATAGCCCTAAAGCCTTGCTCCTGGTTCTTCCAAGGCCCTGTGGAACTGTGTTTGAGAACTGGGACTTGGGCCGGGCGCAGAGGGTCAAGCCTGTAATCCCAGCACTTTGGGAGGTTGAGGCGGGCGGATCACGAGGCCAGGAGATCGAGACCATCCTGGCTAACATGGTGAAACCCCATCTATACTAAAACTATACAGAATTAGCCAGGAGTGGTGGCACATGCCTGTAGTCCCACCTACTCAGGAGACTGAAGCAGGAGAATCGCTTGAATCCGGGAGGTGGAAGTTGCAGTGAGCTGAGATCACGCCTCTGCACTCCAGCCTGGGCGACAGAGTGAGACTCCGTCTCAAAAAAAAAAAAAAAAAAAAAGAACTGGGACTTGGGAGTCAGAGGGAGGCAGAGTTGGAGTCCAGTTCTGTCCTTTCCAAACTGTGTAACATTGAGCAGTTAATATTTCTGAGCTTCAGTTTCCTACTTGTAAATTGCAAATATTTCTTTATTTGTTCCAAGAATTGGATAAATGCTGGACAGTATGTAGTACTTAGTAAAATGCCTGGCACAAATAATAAATTCTCAATAGACGGTGGTAATTATCAATCCTGCTTCCTTAATCCACTTTCTGCCCGCTGTCAATGCCTCCTTCTCCTTTGGCCAATTGCCTCCTAATTAGTCTCCACCATGCCCGGCTAATTTTTGTATTTTAAGTAGAGACGGGGTTTCGCCATGTTGGCCAGGCTGGTCTTGAACTCCTGACCTCAGGTGATCCGCCCACCTCGACCTCCCAAAGTGCTAGGATTACAGGCGTGAGCCACTGCGCCCAGCCTATATGCACTGATTTCTAAAATACATTGTTAAATGGGAAAAAATAGGCCGAGTGTGGGGGCTCATGCCTGTAATCCCAGCAGTTTGGGAGGCCAAGGCGGGAGGATCACCTGAGGTCAGGAGCTCGAAACCACCCTGACCAACATGGAGAAACCTGTCACTACTAAAAATACAAAATTAGCCGGGCATGGTGGCACATGCCTGTAATCCCAGCTACTCAGGAGGCTGAGGCAAGACAATCGCTTGAACCCGGGAGGCAGAGGTTGCAGTGAGCCGACACTGTGCCATTGCACTCCAGCCTGGGCAACAAGAGCGAAACTCCATCTCAAAGAAAAAAAAAAGGAGGTATGAAAAACTGAATACAAAATGCATCTATTTGTGTAAAAAAAAGAGAAAGGAGTGATATTTATTTTCATTTTATTTATTTATTTATTTAATTTTGGGACAGAGTCTCGCTCTGTCTCCCAGGCTGGAGTGCAGTGGCGTGATCTTTGCTCACTGCAAGCTCCGCCTCCCAGGTTCACGCCATTCTCCTGCTCAGCCTCCTGAGTAGCTGGGACTACAGGCACCCACCGCCATGCCCAGCTAATTTTTTTGTACTTTTAGTAGAGATGGGGTTTCACCATGTTAGCTAGGATGGTCTCGATCTCCTGACCTCGTGATCTGGCAGCCTCGGCCTCCCATAGTGCTAGGATTACAGGCGTGAGCCACCACGCCTGGCCAGAGTGATATTTATATTAATGGGAAGGATGCCTCTGATGGGCAGTCAAGGGTCTGGGTGAGGAAAGATTTTCTTTTCACTGTATACTGTTTTGTATTGTTGGGAAAATGTCTAACGATTTGCATAAATATTAAATTTTTTAATTAAAAAAAAAATCTAGCATCTCTTCCTTTGGGAAGCCCTGACTGGCCCTCTCTGTTCCTTCCAGGAGTTTCTCCTTCTTTCATACTCCCAGACTTTTCACGGTGTTTACTTGTTATATTACAGCACTTATCCCATGTGTGGAAGGTTTCCCTGGGAAACCTAGACTATCTAGAAGGTAAGATTGATACCGTATTCATTTTTATGTTCCTAGGATCCATTGCAAAGTGATACACGTGCACATACACATTTTTTTAAGTCAGTTTTAATCTCTTTACATTTTTTAAGAGTTAATGGATGGATGGCCAGGCGCGGTGGCTCATGCCTATAATCCCAGCACTTTGGGAGGCCGAGGTGGGCGGATCACCTGAGGTCGGGAGTTTGAGACCAGCCTGACCAAGATGGAGAAACCCCATCTCTACTAAAAATACAAAATTAGCCGGGCGTGGTGGCACATGCCTGTGATCCCAGCTACTAGGGAGGCTGAGGCAGGAGAATCGCTTGACTCTGGGAGGCAGAGGTTGCAGTGAGCTGAGATCGCGCCATTGCACTCCAGCCTGGGCAACAACAGCGAAACTCCGTCTCAAAAAAAAAAAAAAGAGTTAATGGAAAAAGTCTCCCATCACTGATCTCTTTCACCATCACCCTTATCCTAGTCTGCTTGTGCACAGGAGACTTTGAGCTCTATAGACTCACTTTTACAATGTCACCCCAGCCTATATTATCAGACATCTCCAGCAAACCTTCCTCCGGTGGCTCCTGCTATAGCTGACTTTTCACTATGTTTTTGTAATTTGTTGCTTTTGTCTTGTTTTGTTTTTTAAATATCCACAACGTCCTCACCCACTTCTAGCCTTTATTCATGCCGTTCTCTTTACTGAGGTCCTTC
The DNA here is from genome assembly GCF_000001405.40 of Homo sapiens. Taxonomy (NCBI): domain Eukaryota; kingdom Metazoa; phylum Chordata; class Mammalia; order Primates; family Hominidae; genus Homo; species Homo sapiens. The sequence continues at coordinate 92,817,674 of NC_000015.10, forward strand.
CCAACTCTGCCAGCTTAGACTCCTTTGAGACCAGCTCATCGAAGTCACTTCCTCTTTGAAGTTTCTCTGTCCCCCGCCCCTGCCATCAATCTTAGATAAGCTTAACTTGATGTTTCTGCTCTCTCTCTAATCAAACTATGTGATCACTTGTCATTTATGGCAATTATCATTTTACATGTTAGTCCTCCAGACAAAAATAAGAACCCTTCAGAGACAGGGATTTTTTCTTTGTTTATCTTACTTTTCCCAAAATTTATGCCTGGCACGCAGCAGGCACTCAATAAATAATTGTTGCATGAATGGATGAATGAACAAGTTAATAGTAAGTGCTCATAATATTTGGATGGGCTGCACTTGGAGGCCATCCCTGAAGTTACTTATTAGGGGCAACACACCTGTATGCTGTGTTTGTCACATTCGCATCTTGGCTGGGCACCTTGAACTGGAGGCTTTCTGGTGTTGTTTGCCATTCTGATGAAGGTGTAGAAACCTAATTACATATGCCCTCTGTAAGTGTGTAGACCCTTAAACTAGGATTGCTAGATTTAGTAAATAAAAGTCCAAGTTGCCCAGTTAAATTTGAATCACAAACCACAAACTATCTTTTTAAATGTATGTCCCAAATATTACTTACACTAAAAAAATTATTCAGTTTATCAAAAATTCAAATTTGACTGATGTATTTTATCTGGCGGCCTTACCTCAAAGGCCAAATTTCCAAACCCTGCCTTCTTGCACTCAGATCCTGTTCTTAGATAATTTTATGAACTATGCAATTTTATCATCTTTATTAGATAGCCAGTCCTCCAACTCTCCTTGCTTTTTTACATACATTTAAACACTTTGCTTTCTTCAAAATTATTTTATTATATTTTAAACATCAGAGTTTAGCCACTTAACAGAATTGTATTTGAGAGGGCAAATGCCCCTGTATCTTTCCGCTGGCATTCTCTGTATATTTTCTTGAAGTCTCTATTCTGCAGTACGTCTTAGTTAAAGGAAGATTATCTCCAGGTATGGCGATGGGGCTGCTGTAGGCCATTAGAAACCCTGCAGAGCTGTCTGGGCTGTAAAATGCCACTTCCCTGCAGAGGAAAGGTGGGAGTGACACTACCCAACCCGGTCTCTGCGCCGACCTAGCTTGGCAGCCATTACATATTATTATACATTAGGCTTTCCACGACTTTTGCAAAAGTTAGAGCCACCAGGTGATCTGAAAGAAGGCATTTTCAGATTTCAGTTTCTTAGTACTGGTAAATGAGCATCAAAACCAAAAATGTGGGCACCAACTGCAGCTGCACATATTTTTGTTTTACAGTCACAGTTCCTATCACATTAAATCGCGTTCCCTTGAAGCTTCAAAGTGGATGACAGTTCTACACTACAACCTTTTCATTGCACGTAATTAATTTTCCCTGTGATAAGTCGCCATCCCTTCAACATCCAAACTTGAAAATTACCGGCTAACACTGTCCCTAGGTGTCTAAACTCATGCAAAACATTTGTTTAGTACTCAAATATCACAGCTCCGCATTCTGAAAAACATGAAACGTCCGTCAGAAATTACTAAGAAGTGGTGACTGGAATTTCGGAGCATTTACGTTAGGGAAAAAAGGGATATGTTAAAAGGGGGTTGGGGTGGAGGTGCAATAAATGTGGCTGAATATGGCTGAGAAGCATGGGGAAAATGGCTCAATCCGGGAACGAAAAATCAATTTGCCAAGGCCATGATAAGACTGGAACATCTCTGTCCTCTATATTTCATGAGAAGCCATCCTGATGGCCACAGTCATGCCTGCCATCAGAGCAGGGTTCAGGAGGAGTGGACGGGTATGCCTGACAGCAGATTACAGCAAACAGACATCTACCACCGAGCAAACCATCAGAGAAGGCACCCAGCGAAGGGCTGTATCTTTCATCTTTGGAAATGGACTGAAGAGATATTTAATGTGTCAAGAGCTCTACTTCCGGGAGACCAATATTTCTTTTTTATTCAGTTATTTCAAGGAGGGCTCCCAGTAAATTTTGCTTGGTAAGGAGATTAATTTCAGAGCCATGGACTCCCGTAGGATATATCCTGGATGTTTACGTTGCAAAAACCCGGGGCATTGTTATTTATTTCTTCTGTCAGAAAAGCAAGACAGCAATAAACTACCGCTTAACTTGTAAATCACAGAAGTGACTAACCTGAACGAAAGTAATTTGAGGACAAAGGAAGAGGGATTACTTATTCTACTGTTAAGAACTGATCTACAAAGAGATGATACGTTTTCTGATCATGCTTAGCTTCTCAAATAAGTTAATTCTTTTTTCTGGTCATTCCTGGTAAGCTATAATTTGTCCATCCATTTGTCAAAAATGAGTTATCGTTGCTTCAGGACCCATTCATTTTTTAAACCTGTTACACAGTCAGTGTGACTTTGTGAAGTTGTTTCTTTTGTTCCGTTCCCGTGTTGAGTAGCTCTCTTTTGCCCGAGTCAATATTTTAGGGTTTATTTTAGTTTGGTTTGGTTTGGGGTTTTTTCTTTTTTTTTTCCCTTAATTTGAGGAAGCCTATTCTCCGACACTATTTGCCCAGTTAGAGACTACTGCTACCCTGGGAACTGTCTTCGACCTGAATTTTATTTCCTCTAGGAAGACAGGATGGAAACCCCATTTCACGTTTTGGCTTCCCAGGAGCCGCAACCCAGGCCGACCAGCGCACAGGTTTCAGGCAGGAAATGTCAGGGCGCCTTTAAGAGGAATCTGCGGTAATTTTCCACCGCCCCGCCGACGCGGCGGGATGCTGGGCGCGGCAAAATGCGGCTGCGCGGCAGGGCGCGCGCCTCCGTTGCCAGGATACCGCCTCCTCCACCCCCGGCGCCCAGGGCCCTTTTGTTTCCAAGATGGCCTCCGAATCCTGTTTTAGTGCGCCAGGAACAAAGCCAGTTGCACACTGTTGAGCTTAGCGGAAAGCAAGAGTTATATGGCTGGCTTTCAGCCTGTTCAATGTCAATATTTATTTACTGTTACAACCTTACAAAAATCCGTTCAGTTATGTTGTCTGGATGAGAAAAATCAAGGGAGTGCCACCAGGTGTGTAAGCCATGGTCTCAGCCTTTCTGTGGCAGGGCTTTTGCATTCGTTGTTGCTTTTGATAAGAATTCTGGCTTTTCTTGTTAAACTAGCTCAGGAAGAAGTCTGGGCGATGACGGTTAACTATAGAACCATATAATTACGTGTAGTTCAGTTTGGGTAATGATGCCCCGGGCCATGTCCACTCCCCTTTTAAAAATACTTGTTGATTTTTCTTTTTTTTGTTTGTTTTTTGAGACAGAGTCTCGCTGTGTCGCCCAGGCTGGAGTGCAGTGGCCCGATCTGGGCTTACTGCAACCTCCGCCTCCCGGGTTCAAGGGATTCTCCTGACTCAGCCTCCCAAGTAGCTGGGATTATAGGCCCCCGCCACCATACCTGGCTAATTTTTTTGTATGTTTACCAGAGACAGGGTTTCACCATGTCGGCCAGGCTGGTCTCCAACTCCTGACCTCAGGCGATCCGCCTGCCTCGGTCTCCCAAAGTGCTGGGATTACAGGCGTGAGCCACCGCGCCCGGCCCTATTTTTCTTTTTCTTGAAATATTAGTTTACGGCCGGGCCCAGCTACTCGGGAGGCTGAGACAGAAGAATCGCTTGAGCCCGGGAGGCTGAGGTTGCAGTGAGCCGAGATCGCGCCATTGCACTCCAGCCTGGGCAACAAGAGCCAGACTCTGTCTCGGGGGAAAAAAAAAAAAAAAAACTTACACCTAGATCTGATCTTATGGCACCACTATAATTATTATTAGATTATAAATTCCTTGGGGATAGGAACTTTGTTTCTTATCCATCTTTGTATCCCGAAAGTGGCTCTGCCTGTAACAAACCTTCAAATAAAGTTGCTAAGTAATACTAATTCACATCAAAAAGATACTAATTAACATTTATTCTGCCGAGCACTGCCATTAAGATAGGTACCTCCATTTTATTCCCCATTTTACAGATAGAGAAACTAAGGCTCTGGAAGGTTAAGTAATTGCCTGAGGTGCCACAGCTAGTCGTGTATGGTGGAATCCGCATCCAAACCCAAGCAGTCTGATAAGAGCCTGCCCTAAGGCAGCCATTGTGCTATATACTGCCTCTGTAAATATAATACTACTGGGAGTACATGATGTCTTCTAAGTGCAGCACTTGCAGAGTGTGAAAGCCTCTTTCCCTGAAGTACACCTCTCTTTGTTGCGAACTGACTTCTCACATTTGAATCAGGTATTAGTCATCCAGCCATTTAGATGCTTCCCTCTGAGCTGAAAGCCCCAACCCTAGCCAACCTTGGTGGCAGGGATTGGGGAAGTATAATTTAAAATTTTCTGCCAACCTATAAAGGAAAAACAAAAACCCAAAAAACAAAACAACAACAACAAAAAAACCTACCCACAAAAGCAGAAGAAAAAACAGTTCTATGATAGAATAAGCATTAAGTTCAAATGTGGTGTGCATCACAGGTCATTAGCTAGAGATTGCAAAGGACAGAAAGAAATTTCACCCTTTTACATACCTAAGCAGATATACCCCGTTACCATACATGTTTTCAAGATTAAATAGTAACCAGTCTCCAAGTAAGAGGACTTGGCAGCACCACTTGTCACAGCTAGTTCATGCAAAATGCACACAGTAATTGGTAGCTGGTAATCTGTGTTAGCTAATTAGTTTTATTTAGAGGAAAAATAAACTTACATTTTTATAACAGGAATTAGGTTTGCACCTTGAAGTAAGGCACCTACTGGAGTTAACACTCCTGCTCTCCCACAGAAACTGTAAGTAGGGATGCTACCTTCTGTGGTGATTGCATTTCAAAGAGACAGCTCCCAGGTCACTGAGTAAGACATTTCTGGGCTGTAAAGCTGGTAAGAGGCTTATTTAGCTTTTAAAAAGATTTACATACCTCTCAAAGGGTTAGAGAAAGAATTTTCCCTTACAAGTTTTCTCAAATAAATGCTGAAAGGAAGGGAGGAAGGGGAGTCTTTTTCCCTTGCTGTACCCGGGACACATTGATTTACATTTTAGATCTGCATCTGTGTCAAGATTAGACCAGCTATTCCAGTCAAAGAGTCAGCTTGCACTCAGAGTCAGCTTGTTGGCCCACCCTTTCCACAGACATAATAATGAATCAGATAGTGGGAAGCCAGGAGAAGGTATTGTCAAATGCTGGGGGTTAAATCCTCTATTTTGATGGAAACTTTTACTTCCTGGTTTCTTTGAAATTAAGCCTAATTTCTGGCAGATGCTGAAGTGAGTTTGCATGCTGCACCAGGCCACAATAATGTGTCTAAGAAATGCAGACCAGGCAACTGGCCTTGATGTTCTTTTGAGTTGTCTTCACTCCTCAGTCTGCTCTCTTCTACTCATGTAGGCACCTTGGAGATGCCTCACAAGAAGGACTTCTCTCCACTGACCTCCTGATCTTAAGACATCTTTGCTTCTAGCATCCTACCTTAGCTTCTTTTCCAAAAGACTCAGGCTACTTGTGGCTGTGCTGATAACCAAGCCTGGACCACCTTCCTTCACCATTTCTGCTGGCTTGGCTCAACCAGCAAGACAGTTCCTACTATCCTTTCCTTCTGGAATCCTTCCCTGACCTACCTTACTGCTCATGCACCTGCATCTGATTTGGTCTCCCCTGGGCTCCCAGACCACTTGGTAATTTCTCCTATTACAGCACACAGATAGTTAAGTGTGGGTAGTCATGTTTAATTCTCTAGTCCATAAACTTCTTATTTTATATTCAAAGATTTTTTAAATCTTTTTGTTCCCAGCACTTCACGGCAGGGTGCCTACATGAGTAGATCTGAGATCTTAAAACTGGTGGCCTACAGGTTGAGTCAAGCCCACCAAACTATTTTGTTGGGCTCTTTTTAACATTCGTTTTGTAAAATTTGAAGCTACATTTTAAAATCTGAATTTACATACAAATCAGAGACTTCGCCTTTTTTTTTTTTTTTTACTTTTTGCTCATCTAAAGAACAAGATACAGCAGCCAGGTGGGGTGGCTCATGCCTGTAATCCCAGTATTTGCGAGGCCGAGACGGGTGGATCACCTGAGGTGAGGAGTTCGAGACCAGCCTGGCCAACATGGTGAAACCCTGTCTCTACTAAAAATACAAAAATTAGCTAGGTGTGGTGGTGCACACTTGTAATCCCAGCTACTTGGGAGGCTGAGGCAGGAGAATCTCTTGAACCTAGGAGGCAGAGATTGCAGTGAGCCGAGATTGCGCCACTGTACTCCAGCCTGGGTGATAGAATGAGACTCCATCTCAAAAAAAAAAAAAAAAAAAAAAAAAAAGAACAAGATATGGCTACCCTATCAGCAGGTGCCTAGTGCTACTTTAGATGGTATATGAGCTGTCCACTTTGCCATAGCCTTTGCCATTCCCTGTTGCTTCTCCATTGATGCTAAGTATGAAGTGTCATTTATATTGAATCTGCACTAGTATTTTTCTTGGAGTAAAGTATTTCTAAGTACCAAAAGAGAGAAAACAAGACAAAAGCATCTTTCAAGAATAATGAGAGGGAGCCCTTTTTTGCGGGGGGGGGGGGGGGGCGGGGGGACAGAGTTTCGCTCTTGTTGCCCAGGCTGGAGTGCAATGGTGTGATCTCGGCTCATTGCAACCTCTGCCTCCTGGGTTCAAGCAATTCTCCTGCCTCAGCCTCCCGAGTAGCTGGGATATTACAGACATGCACCACCACGCCCGGCTAATTTTGTATTTTTAGCAGAGATGGGGTTTCTCCATGTTGGTCAGGCTGGTATCAAACTCCCAACCTCAGGTGATCTGCCCACCTCGGCCTCCCAAAGTGTTGGGATTACAGGCGTGAGGCACTGCACCCAACCGAGGGAGCCCATTTCTTAGTGGAAATGAAGAGTTGCCTCTGTTTATTAGACACATAAAATGTGTCTGTTTCTATTTTTCTTAAATCTAGCTGCTTTGCTCATTAAAGTTAACTTCCTGGCCTCTATAGATATTTGAATTTTTGACTCTTAGGGTCAAAAACTGAGGCATGGTTGGAGTCGTGGGGGAGGAGGAAGGAAGGATAAACAAGTTCAGCAAATGGTTAAGATTCCAAACTAGCTGGGTGCGGTGGTGGCTCATGACTATAATCCCAGCACTTTGGGAGGCAGAGGTGGGTGGATCATTTGAGCCTAGGAGTTTGAGATCAGCCAGGACAAAATAGGGAGACCCTGTCTCTATACAAAATTTTAAAAATTAGCCAGGCATGGTGGTATGTGCCTGTAGTCCCAGCTACTCAGGAGGCTGAGGCAGGAGAACAATTTGAGCCCAAGAGGTTGAGGCTGCAGTGGACTATGATTGTGACACTGCACTCCAGCCTGGGTGACAAAGACCCTGTCTCAACAACAACAACAACAAAACAAACAAATACCAAACTTAAACAGAATTCCCTAATTACCCACTTAAACAGACTTCCCAAATTACCCTTTAGCCAATCCTTTAATTTCACCTTGGACATCATTTCTAACATTTGCTGCATTTTAGTTGAGTGAGGGAAGTGTAGGGGCAGAAAAATGTGATACCTTTCTTCACCCATAGTAAAGATCACACAGCAACACTCCTATGACAAAAGACAGGTTAACAAGAGAAAAGCACGACAAATTTATCTAATCAAAGTTTTATATGACAGGGGAGCCTTCAGAAATGAAGACCCAAAGGCCCACGGAAAGCTATCCTTTATTATTATTATTATTTTTTGAGACGGAGTCTCGCTCTGTCGCCAGGCTGGAGTGCAGTGGCGTCATCTCAGCTCGCTGCAACCTCTGCCTCTCAGGTTCAAGCGATTCCCCTGCCTCAGCCTCCTGAGAAGCTGGGACTACAGGCGCTCGCCACCATGCCTGGCTAATTTTTTTGTTTTTGTATTTTAGTAGAGACAGGGTTTCACCATGTTGGCCAGGATGGTCTCGATCTCCTGACCTCGTGATCCGCCCGCCTCAGCCTCCCAAAGTGCTGGGATTACCGGCGTGAGCCACAGCGCCCAGCCGCAAAGCTATCCATTTTTATGCTTAGGGTTCATGAAGAATGGCAGGCATGTGGAAATATCAAAGCAGGTCTGAGCTAGTACTGATAGTCTGAGGTGGGGAAACCCACCAAGACCTGTCTGTTCAGATCCTTCTTGGCCTGTCTGTGCAGCACCCTTTCCTCCTGGGTATAGGGAAGGACCCCTTGCAGAACAAGGGTCTTATGATCTACTGTATCAGACAAGATAGGTCAGAGAATTTGTTTATGGCCAGTTCCTAAACAGAAAGGCAGGGGAATCCTAGAGTAGTATTTCTGGCTTCTGTGACCCACCTTGGGGAAAAGGAATTCTAGTTTCTATGGCCTGTTTTGGGGAAAAGTGGGAGAGGAAGACAGGAGGGCAAGAGAAGTTCTGAGAGAGACTTTGCTTCTGAGGCCCTTCTATCATCGTTCAGTTCAAAGTACTTGGCATGCCAAAGCACCGAACTTTCAGGTATCATTTTCTAAGCCCCAGCAACACAATACTCAGTTTCCTATAGTTACTGCCTTGGCAAAAGCCTGTGAGTTAAGTTATACATATGCATTTTGTCCTTAATGACTCCAGAAATATAGAATGCATACAAAAAAGTTCAGTTCATATGAGTAATTGGTTTTTCAGCCATTATCCACAGCACCTTATATAAGGTAGACATTATCTGCTGGGTAGAACTAAGAACTGTTTTGCAAAACATAGGAACAAGAGGCCGGGTGCAGTGGCTCATGCCTGTAATCCTAGCACTTTGGGAGGCTGAGGCGGGTGGATCATGAGGTCAGGAGATCGAGACCATCCTTGCTAATATGGCGAAACCCCATCTCTACTAAAAATAAAATAAATAAATAAATAAAAATTAGCCGGGCGTGGTGGCGGGCACCAGTAGTCCCAGCTGCTGGGGAGGCTGAGGCAAGAGAATGGCGTGAACCCGGGAGGCAGCGCTTGCAGTGAGCTGAGATCACGCCACTGCACTCCAGCCTGGGCAACAGAGCGAGACTCCATCTCAAAAAAAAAAAAAAACAAAAAAACAAAAAAAAACAGGAACAAGAAAAAAAAAATGTTAGTTTTGTTGCTATCAATGCTTACATAACAAAATGAGTGTCCAAATAAATACTATCTTTCTAAACACCAGTGATGTAAGTACTGATGCAAGTGCAAAGTAGTAATATGTTGAGGTTCTGTTTCACGTGAAATTTATTTATTTACTTATTATTATTATTTTGAGATGGAGACTCACTCTGCCCAGGCTAGAGGACAGTGGTGTGGTCTCGGCTCACTGCAACCTCTGCCTCCTGGATTCAAGCAATTCTCCTGCTTTAGCCTCCTGAGTCGCTGGGATTACAGGCGCCTGCCACCATGCCCAGCTAATTTTGTATTTTTAGTAGAGATGGGGTTTTGCCATGTTGGCCAAGCTGGTCTCAAACTTCTGACCTCAGGTGATCCACCTGCCTTGGCCTCCGAAAGTGCTGGGATTATAGGCATGAGCCACCGTGCCTGGCCTAATTTTTTGTACTTTCAGTAGAGACAGGATTTCACCATGTTGGCCAGGCTGTTCTCAAACTCCTCACCTCAGATGATCCACTCGCTTTGGCCTCCCAAAGTGCTGGGATTACAGGCATGAGCCACTGTGCCCGGCCTTCAAATGAAATTTATCAAGCTGACAAAACCGTATTTCAGAAACTACAAACATTGGTTTTAATTCCAGAGATTTAACAAAGCTTTTGTTTACACGGAAGGATTTTTTATTTATTTATTTATTTATTTATTTTTGGAAGGGGGAACAGAGTATCACTCTGTCACCCAGGCTGGAGTGCAGTGGCACATTCTCTGCTCACTGCAACCTCCACCTGCCAGGTTCAAGCTCTTCTCCTGCCTCAGTCTCCCGAGTAGCTGGGATTATAGGCGCCTGCCACCACACCCAGCTAATTTTTGTATTTTTAGCAGAGATGGAGTTTCATCATGTTGCCCAGGCTGGTCTCAAACTCCTGAACTCAAGTGATCTGCCCCGCCTTGGCCTCCCAAAGTGCTGGAATTACAGGCATGAGCCACCATGCCCGGCTGAGGAAGGATTTTTAAATTATTATTTTCTCCTAATTCTCGTAGATTAGATTTACATTGTTTGAACAAGAATCCTATCTGGTTGCACAGAATAGAGACTCTTTCTGAACACCTTGAGTGTTTGCTTTTTTTTTTTTTTTCCCGACAGAGTCTCTATCTGTCGCCAGGCTGGAGTGCAGTAGTGGCGTGATCTCGGCTCACTGCAACCTCCACCTCCTGGGTTCAAGCAATTCTCCTGCCTCAGCTTCCCAAGCAGCTGGGACTACAGGTGTGCGCCACCACACCCAGCCAATTTTTGTACTTTTAGTAGAGACAGGGTTTCACCATGTTGGCCAGGATGGTCTCATCTCTTGACCTCGTGGTCCGCCTGTTTCGGCCTCCCAAAGTGCTGCGATTACAGGCCTGAGTCACCACACGCGGCCGCGTTTGCTATCTTGTAATGCCATTATTGACTGTGGACCGATGTGAAGCCAAGGCAGAGTGTTCCACTTTGCTCCAAACATGCTGTGACATCATGAAATAAAACTCAAGTCATCTGTCCCCTTCTCCTTGCCTGGGATTTTAAAGTCATTAGGCTGGGTGCAGTGGCTCACTGTAACCCCAGCACTTTGGGAGGCCAATGCAGGAGGATTGTTTGAGGCCAGGAGTTCAAGACCAGCTTGGGCAACATAGCGATATCCTGTCTCTAAAAAATGAAATAAAATAAAATAATAAAAATTAAAGGAATTACATTTTGTTTTACTTGTCTAAATTGGCCCTTTCCAAATCTGGAGAACTACTAGAGCAGTGGTTGGGGATGGTGTTAATTTGGGAAAGCCTCAGTTGATTCTGACAAACCCTGCCCTTAAGAACCACCAGTTTGTTTTCCTTTAGGTCCACTTAAAAACAACTGAAGAAGGCCAGGCGTGGTGGCTCACACTTGTAATCCCAGAACTTTGGGAGACCAAGGCAGGCAGATCACCTGAGGTCAGGAGTTGGAGACCAGCCTGGCCAACATGGTGAAACCCCGTCTCTACGAAAAATACAAACATTAGCCGGGCGTGGTGGTGCATGCCTGTAATCCCAGCTACGCAAGAGGTAGAGGTGGGAGAATCACGTGAACCTGGGAGGCGGAGGTTGCAGTGAGCTGAGATGGCAACACTGCACTCCAGCCTGGGTGACAGAGTGGGACTCCGTCTTTTTTTTTTTTTTTTTTTTTTTTTTTGAGACGGAGTCTCACTCTGTTGCCAGGCTGGAGTGCAGTGGCGCGGTCTCGGCTCATTGCAACCTCCGCCTCCTGGGTTCAAGCGATTCTCCTGCCTCAGCCCCCCAAGTAGCTGGGATTACAGGCACGTGCCACCACACCCGGCTAATTTTTGTATTTTTTTTTTAGTAGAGATGGGGTTTCACCATGTTAGCCAGGCTGGTCTTGAACTCCTGTCCTCGTGATCTGCCCGCCTTGGCCTCCCGAAGTGCTGGGATTACAGGCGTTAGCCACCGCACCTGGCCGGGACTCTGTCTTAAAAAACAAACAAACAAAAAAACTGAAGTGTATACAACAAGGATTCTCTTGAGGGGAAGCCTGCATCCGATAATTTTACATTTATTAAACTGGTGGTGAAAGAGTTCTATGCAGTTGAAAGGAACAATCAGCTATGTAAATTGCCCTTACTCTGGACTTGAGAAAAGCAGAAGGAACACATCGCCCACTAGGAAGGACTTAAAGTTAGTCTTGAGAGCCTTGTCTTGATGAAAAGACTAAGTGGGGCCAAGGGAAAGCTGGCTGTATTGATGAGAAATGGAAATAAGGCACCTTTCTTTTTTTTTCTTTTTTTTTTTTTTTGAGATGGAGTCTCACTCTGTCACCCAGGCTGGAGTGCAGTGTGCAGTGGTAGTCCGTGATCTCGGCTCACTGCAACCTCTGCCTCCCGGGTTCAAGTGATTCTCCTGCCTCAGCCTCCCTAGTAGCTGGGACTACAGGCGCACGCCGCCACACTCAGCTAATTAAGGCACGTTTCTCAGAGGCTAGAAGCTGCCTAGAAGTTTTTTCACTCTGTTGGAAGAACCAAACCGTATGGCACATAGTAGGATTGTGTCCATCCTGCATGTCTCAAGTCACAATCCTCCAGATATTCAACCAAAGTGCTTGATTCTGTTGGCACAAGGACCATGAAATCTTCAGTAGCTAAGGAGACTCTTTGACAAATAGATTTATTGCATATGATGTAAAAGGGTCTCATTCAGAGAACTACACATTTACTACACATTTACTAGCTGTTAGATGTGAGAAATTGAAGCTTTGAGAATTGTCATTTTGTAAGCACGCTGTAATAATTGTGTTCTCTACAAAAATGGAGAAATACTTAATCTTTGCAGGTTTTTATTAGCTTCGAAAAAGGGAATACAAATATTTTGATACCTGACTTTATTTTAAAGATACTGGCAAGCAAGGAAAGATACTCAGTTTGCTAAATTATAGCATAGATTTGAAAGACGGAAATTTTTTTTTGTTATTTTGATTCTTTCTGATTCAGAACCTGCGTGAGTTTCCATTCCTGGGATAGAGAGCCCTGCCAAAGCCAACTCAGTCTCCTGTTATTGCAGAAATTTAAAGGTTACTTGAGCTGATTGATACCAATTAAAATAAAAGCATCTACTGCCATTTTATTAAACGCCCTATTTAATCTCCACATCCCAAGTTCATTCTCTCTCTCTTTTAAGGCTATACATGGGCCTCAACATTCTCTCTTCTTCAGTATCAGCTGTCCTCATCCCTATTCAAAGTCAGAATGACTTGGAATCTATTCAGGGCTGCTACTTAATTGGATGAAGAAAGTACTCTGTTGCATGCTAACCTCCCAGATTTGAATTAGAACCAAGGTCCTGAATCTACACAAGACCTTTTTCCCTTTCCTTTCTGCATTTATTTCTTTTTTTTCTACATCTTTCTTTTTGAATTTTTTTTTTTTTTTTTTTCTGAGATAGAGTCTTGCTCTGTCGCCAGGCTGGAGTGCAGTGGTGTGATCTTGGCTCACTGCAGTCTCCAACTCTGGTTCAAGCAATTCTCCTGCCTCAGCCTCCGGGTAGCTGGGACTACAGGCATACACCACCATGCCCAGCTAATTTTTGTATTTTTAGTAGAGATGGGGTTTCACCATAGTGGCCAGGATGGTCTCCATCTCTTGACCTCGTGACCTGACCCCCTCGGCCTCCCAAAGTGCTGAGATTACAGGCATGAGCCACCGCGCCCGGCCTCTTTTTGAATTTTTTTAAAAAAACACCTAAAGTTTAGGAAAGTATAAGAGGCCAAAGAAACAAGAGTTCAAAGAAACAAGAGTGTTATACACGCACACTTGCAGAAAGGTAGTAAAATATCTGTATAGTTCTGGCTGTCAAGCTTTTGGACTGAGATATGCGTAAGCAAGGCAAAAAGATCCCATAGTCCAGGAATATCAACCAGTCCAGTTTCCCAAGGAAACTAAAAGTAACTGAAAATGAGAAGGGTGCCATATAGGAAAATTGAAGGTGGGGCATAATTATTAATACACTGCTTTGGAAATGCTGGTATGGAAGATTCATATATGGACTTCAAAGCATACATGTCTTATACTTAGCTATGGGAAAATTATCATCAAAATCTTCATTTATACAAATCACGGGTATTAGAAATAAAATCAGGTATTGTGTACAGTCAGATCCCAGGTTTACACAAACTAGAGGTTTCAATTAAGTTTCCTTCATTTTATAAAACCATGACACAAGCTGTAAATAAAGGAGCTCTGGCTTTAGGCCTTCTTCTGTTTATAGACAGTAAATTTTAATCCTCTGTCCCTGCAGACCAACTCAAAGCAGTAACCTTGGCTACCGTTGCCGCAGAAGAAACACACCCTGCAGATTTCCAGTTCTATATTCAGTCTTAGAAAATTGGTCATGTTGAAAGGGAAAAAACAATTTTACTTTGCCTCAGTTATTGACACCAAGAAGCACTCCTCAGCCTGTTCAGAGGGGAAACAATGAGTCATTCATGCTGTCAGCCCAGGTGGTGCATGAATTCCAGACAGAGGCCGCTGAATTAACCCGTGGAGGCGTCTCTCTGAGCAGAGCCCGCAATGCGCCTGCTTGGGGCTCCCTGCAGCCTCTGGGGGAGGCAGGGCGGCCCAGAGCAGGCCTGTGCTGGAAAGGAACGCGAAGCCCTGTAACCAAGCCTGTACCTCTGCAGTGCTAGTCCCAAGGGGCCTCCGAGCTGTTTGTCACCATGTGATTGGCTCAGGAGAGGGGTGGAGAAATGAAAACACTCTGCCCAGGATATATTTAGTTGAAGTGCAGCTGGGGAAGTGCTTAAACAAGGGAGCTTTTGTCCTTATGTTGAAGTGTTTTTCTTAACTCCTCAAGGGTGAAAAACTTGAGCCACGTACTGATCCCATTCCCCCCCACCACCCCCAATATATTTTCTCTTCTTTAGGAAATGCTCTTATTCTGAAACTTTAGAATTTTCTAGGGTTTGTTGCATAAGAGGAAACTGAATAATTCTGATGCAGAACTGACACAAAATTTAAAGCACAAACTTTTAGTGGGAGACACAGTTAAGAAATTCAAATAATTTCTTAACACATTAGAAGTTTGCATTCTTGCCATTAATTTTCTGTAAGTTCAAACTGGAAATTGGCTATTTTCAAACGGCTTTACTTGAACTAATTTATGGAGTTAAAAACATAATTAAGTGTTATAAGCTGACAGAGCCCTGTTTCACTCGAGCTGATTCACGGTTTCCAGTAATGAAAGATATCCTTCTGCGCTGCTGAGCACAGCTTCTTTGCAACAGATGACTGATGAGCCGTGTAACGGCTCCTGTTCACATCCTCCTCAAAAAATGGCTGAAAACTGCCACCTTGCTGCAAGGCTTTATGTAAATACTGTATATTAGGGCACATTATCTATTATTAAGAAGTAATGTGGCTGGGCACTGTGGCTCATGCCTGTAATCCCAGCACTTTGGGAGGCCGAAGCAGGCAGATCACCTGAGGTCAGTTCAAGACCAGCCTGGCCAATGTGGTGAAACACCTCTCTATGAAAAATACAAAAATCAGCCAGGCGTGGTGGCGCATACCTGGAGTCCCAGCTACTCAGGAGGCTGAGGCATGAGAATCGCTTGAACCCAGAGGGGAGGTTGCAGTAAGCTGAGGTTGCACCACTGAACTCCAGCCTGGATGACAAAAAAAAAAAAAAAAAAAAAATAGCAACACAGGAAATATTTTCCATGAAAATTCCATTTGCAGTTATGAAGCAGGGGCAAAAACTTCTGGACAAGAAGCCCGTGGTTTTGTTGATACTAGCAAAGCAGGCTGTAATAGTGCTCTCCAGAGAAACAGAACCAGTAGGATGTGCATATTTATAGACAAAGATTTCTCTCTCTCTCTTTTTTTTTGAGACAGGTCCTTGCTCTGTCACTCAGGCTGGAGTGCACTGGCGTAATCTTGGCTTCCTGCAGCCTCAACCTCTCCTAGCTCAAGCAATCCTCCTGCCTCAGTCTCACGAGAAGCTGAGACTACAGGTGCATGCCACCATGCCCAGGTAATTTTTAATTTTTTGTAGAGATGGTGTTTTGCCATGTTGCCCAGCCTGGTCTCGAACTCCTGAGCTCAAGCCATCTGCCCGATTCAGCCTCCCAAAGTGCTGGGATTACAGGCATGAGCCTGACTGAGAGAGAGATTTTGTTTAAGGAATCGATCCATGCTTATGGAGGCTAAGTTCAAAATCTGCAGTGTGGGCTGGTAGGCTAGAGACCTAGAAAAGAGCCAGTGTTGTGGTTCAATCCAAAAGATGTCAGCTGACAGAATTCCCAGAATTTCTTCTTGTCTGGAGCCGGGAGAGCGAGAGGGAGTCTCTTGTTCTATTCAGGCCTTCAACTGATGTGATGAGGCCCACCCACAGTATGGAGGGCCATCTGCTGTACTTAATGTTCACCAATTTCAATGTTAATCTCATCCAAAAACACCCTCACAGACACATCCAGGAGAATCTTTGACCAAATGTTTGGGCACTGTGGCCTAACCAAGTTGACACATAAAAGTAACCAACCACAGGTTAACAAACTCATTTTAAAAAATTCATGTGTTAACTTCACTTGTTAAAGTAACAGCATTGCTTACCATGTTGTAGATGTTGTAAAGGTATAAAAACGGGTACCCTTACAACATCTGTATCCCCCTGAAGGCAAGGATCTCTCTCTCTCTCTCTCTCTCCCCCTCTCTCTCCCTCTCCTTCTATCCTGTTCTCCCTCCTCCCTCTTCTCTCCTGGGAGGCTTGCCCTTTCATCCCAGGGACCATGTTGTGAGGAAGTTCATGGAAAAGCCATGTGTAGATATTCCAGACGATAGCCCCCAGCCCACACCAACATCAACTACTAGACATGTGAATGAACAAGCCTCAGATGATTTTTTTCTCAGCCTTCAGAGTCTTCCAGCTGTGATCCAGACATGGTACAGCAAAGTCAAGCTACCCTCTGCTGTGCCCTGTCTTGATTTATTTATTTAAAATTTTTTTTTTAATTTTAATTTTTTTTACTCTGTAAGCTTTGTTGGTCTTAACTGTCTCAATTCTGACCTGTAGAAACCATGAGATATTAAAAAAAGAGGAAGAAGAAGAAAATTATTGCTATTTTAAGCCACTAAATTTGGGAGCGATTTGCTATACAGGAAAAGATAACTACTATAGTAAGATTATGGTTAACTTTATGAGAAAGTACCAAACTGATTTCTTTCCTTTTTTTTTCTTTGAGGTGGAGTTTCGCTGTTGTTGCCCGGGCTAGGGTGCAATAGTGCTATCTTGGCTCACTGCAACCTCCACCTCCCGGTTTCAAGCGATTCTCCTGCCTCAGTCTCCTGAGTAGCTGGGATTACAGGCACTCGCCACCATGCCTGGTTAATTTTTTCTATTTTTAGTAGAGTCGGGGTTTCACCACGTTGGCCAGGCTGGTCTCAAACTCCTGACCTCAGGTGATCCACCTGCCTCAGCCTCCCAAAGTGCTGGGATTACAGCATGAGCCACCGCGCCCGGCCACACATCTACTTTTGATCAGAAATATTATTACCCAATTCAGAAACCAATCTTATTCACCATGATAGTTCATTGTCACATTTCATAAGACCAGCTCACCCCTACCCCTGATACTAGAATTTATGCTTATACTTCCAATATGTTTTAAAATAATTGTTACCAACTGCGTCTGTATAGTTATTATTATATATAAAGTATATAAATATAATTCTCCACATCATGATTTATCAAGTTAATTTGCAAGCCCTGAAAGAGAAGAATAAAACTGTCTATCCACAGATGGGGGATTCTTGATTCTAACTATACTATCACCTATTGACTGTTAATTAGCATTATTATTATTTCCATTAATGGAGAAATGCTATTTGTTAGGCATTTCACATATATAAACTTACTTACCACGACAACACTACGAGGTACATATTTTTATCCTCATCTTTTTCCCAGGGAAGAGCAGGATTGGAGAGTTTATGAAATTTGGCTTTGACCACACAACTAAATTTGAACCCAGTATCCTTTTATTTGATCCAAAATAGGCTTTTCTTCATTTTTTTCTAATTTTATACCACAATGTGGAATGTATTTTTGCCTGAAGTAAACAGTGGAAAATATTCTAGACTGGGATTTGGGAGATTGGGTTTTGTTCCTGGCTGTCTTACTGATCAACAGTCTTTTTTAAAGCATGTCTTTCTCTGGACTATGTTCCCTATCATTTAAAATAAAAATCACTTGAGGTCAGCAGTTCAAGACCAGCCTGGCCAACATGGTGAAACCTCGTCTCTACTAAAAATACAAAAATTAGCCAGGCGTGGTGGTGTTCACCTGTAGCCCCAACTACTCAGGAGGCTGAGGTGGAAGAATCATTTGAACCCAGGAAGTGGAGTTTGCAGTGAGCCGAGATCGCGCCACTTGACTCCAGCCTGGGTGACAGAGCGAGACTCTGTCTCAAAAATTATATATAAATAGGCCGGGCACGGTGGCTCATACCTGTAATCCCAGCACTTAGGGAGGCCAGGATGGGTGGATCACCTGAGGTCAGGAGTTTGAGACCAGCATGACCAAAATAATGAAACCCCGTTTCTACTAAAAATACAAAAAACTAGCTGGGCATGGTGGCAGGCACCTGTAATCCCAGCTACTCAGGAGACTGAGGCAGGAGAATCACTTGAACCCAGGAGGCGGAGGTTGCAGTGAGCCGAGATTGTGCCATTGCACTCCAGCCTGGGCAACAGAGCGAGACTCTGTCTCAAAATAAAAAAAAATATATATATATACACACACACACACACAAACACACACACACATATATGTTATATATATGTTATTTATATATAAATGTTATGTATATTTTATATATATATTTGTATATAAATAGAATAAAAGTTTCGTTTAAGGCCTTATTCAGTTGAAAAGTAGTACCAGGGACTGTTCTAAGCATTTCACATATATTAATTTGTGACTCATAAAAATCTGTGATATAGGTACTAGTAAAATGCCCATTTTACAAATGAATGAACCAAGGTGCAGAGATTAATTAACTTTCCCAAAGTCACAAAACTAGTAAAGGGGGTTTAGCTGTGATTTAAGCCCAGGCTGTCTGGCTCCAGAATCCACCATGTTATGAAGCGACATTTATTGAAAGCCACTGTTAAAAACAACCTTATGGTATCATTAATAACATTATTCTCTTCAATTCCACCTTCTTTCCTACTTTTTGGGTGAAGAAACTGAGGCTTAGAAAATATATCTCGGCCAGGCAGGGTGGCAAATACCTGTAATCCCAGGACTTTGGGAGGGCAAGGCGGGAGGATTATTTGAGCCCAGGAATCTGAAATCAGCCTGGGCAACACAGGGAGACACTGTCTCTCTAAAACAAATGTTTAGGCCGGGCACAGTGGCTCACGCCTGTAATTCCAGAACTTTGGGAGGCCAAGGTGTGTGGGTTGCCTGACGTCACGAGTTTGAGACCAGCCTAGCCAACATGGTGAAACCCCATCTCTACTAAAAACACACAAAAAATTAGCCGGGCATGGTGGCACACTCCTGTAATCCCAGGTACTTGGGAGGCTGAGGCAGGAAAATCTCTTGAACCAGGGAGGTGGAAGTTGCAGTGAGTCAAGATGGAGCCACCCTTCCCATTAATATAAATGTCACTCCTTTCTCTTTTTTTAAACAAATAGATGCATTTTCTATTCAGCTTTTTATACCTCCACCTGTTTTTTGTTTTTTTGAAATGGAGTTTCGCTCTTGTTGTCTGGGCTAGAGTGCAGTGGTGCATTCTTGACTCACTGTAGCCTCCACCTGCCGGGTTCATGCAGTTCTCCTGCCTCAGCCTCCCAAGTAGCTGGCACCACCATACCACGCCTGGCTAATTTTTATATTTTTTAGTAGAGATGGGGTTTCATTATGTTGGTCAGGCTGGTCTCGAACTCCTGACCTCAGGTGATCCACTATTTGACTTTCTGCCTCGGCCTCCCAAAGTGCTGGGATTACAGGCATGAGCCACCGCATCTGGCCGAGGTAAATATTTTTTAATCACAGAAGTAGGCACATACCACACACACTGTTCTGATCTTCCTTTTTATTTCTAATTAACAATATGGCTTGGAAATTATCCCTCATAATACCGAAAGCACTTTTTTAAAGGGGTGGCACAGTTTTCTATTTTAGAGATGCACCATCATTTACCTAACCATCCCCTAGGATCCCTGAGGTTGTTTCTGATCTGAAGCTTTTGACAGGCCACGCATAGTGAATCTGCTTGTGTCTTTGCTGCTGCGCCCTGTAGGCCCCTCTGAGATCTCTCATGTCATGTATGTGGGGGCAGGGAGGGGAGCTTATGGCACGTCCTTCCCGGCCAGCAAGGCATATATTACCGTAGAGTTTTCTCTATAGGACTGGAGTCAGAAAATTCATACAGCTAAGGCGAGGTATAGCTCAGAAAAAGCATCCAGAAGGCAGCTCAACCGATCAACATCAGTGACAACAGCACGAAAATACCACAAGCTTGGCCTGGCACGGTGGCTCACGCCTGTAATCCCAGCACTTTGGGAGGCCAAGGTGGACAGATCATGAGGTCAGGAGATCAAGACCATCCTGGCTAACATGGTGAAACCCCGTCTCTACTAAAAATACAAAAAAATTAGCCAGGCATGGTGGCGAGCGCCTGTAGTCCCAGCTACTCTGGAGGCTGAGGCAGGAGAATGGCGTGAACCCAGGAGGCAGAGCTTGCAGTGAGCCGAGATCACGCCACTGCACTCGAGCCTGGGTAACAGAGCGAGACTGTCTCAAAAAAATAAAATAAAATAATAAAAAAAAGAAAACACCACAAGCTTTTCCACCATCTCTAGCCAAATATGCCACGGTCATCTTTTCCAGCGGGGCCTTCAGTCCCAGGGACCAGGCCAGTTCTGTTACTCACACAGCTGGAAGCACTGCTTTACGGTTTAGAGCAATGTGGACCAACAGATGAAGAATGACCGGGATGGAGTTGCCTGAATGTTACCCACCTACGGCTGTTTCTCTTGTGAAACAACCTGGGCAACTTAATTCATCTCAGTTCTCACGTTCTCTTCCCTGAGATCAAAGTTTCTGATGAGGCTCAGGGTCCCTCCCAGAAAAGCCAGCTGAGTGCCTGCTTCTGCCTGGCTTTGTCTAAAGATGCCTTGCTTGAGTGCCAGCCCTGGGTAAACCCTTCAGTGTTTTCCTGCCAAAGGAGAACACTGAGAAGCCCCCAGCCCCAAATGCTCTGACAGGATGGAGAAGAAACGTTTTTTATTTTGAGGCCACTGTCCCAACCTTCCAACAACAAAACTAAATTGAAAATGATAGATATAGAGCCATTGATTCCCACCACCACACATTTAATTGTGAAAATGTCCCAACAAACAGAAAAGTTGAAAAAAATATGCAGTGAATACCCATCCATCCACCACTTCAGTTCTACAATGAACATTTTGCTAGACTTGCTTTCTTTATAACATTACCTTCCATCTACCTAAGCCACCGATTTTTTTTTTTTTTTTGAGATGGAGTCTCACTCTGTCACCCAGGCTGGAGTGCAGTGGGGCGATCTCGGCTCACTGCAACCTCTGCCTCCTGGGTTCAAGCAGTTCTGTCTCAGCCTCCTGAGTAGCTGGGATTACAGGCACGCGCTACCACGCACAGCTAATTTTTGTATTATTAGTAGAGACGGGGTTTCACCATGTTGGTCAGGCTGGTCTCAAACTCCTGACCTCCTGATCCACCCGCCTCAGCCTCCCAAAGTGCTGGGATTACAGGCATGAGCCACTGCAGTGCCTGGCTTTTCTTTTTTTTTTTTTTTTTTTTTTTGAGACAAGGTCTCACTCTGTCACCCAGGTTGGAGTGCAGTGGCAGGATCTCACTGAACCACTAATTGTTGAGGCTTTTTGAAAGTTTGCCTTGAATATTCATTGCTTTTAAAACTTCAGAAAAGGAAACTTAACATCATGTTTAATAAACACAGAATGGCCGAGTGTGGTGGCTCACGCCTGTAATCCCAGCAATCTGGGAGGCCGTGGCAGGTGGATCACCTGAGGTTAGGAGTTCGAGACCAGCCTGGCCAACATGAAACCCTGTCTTTACTAAAAATACAAAAATTAGCTGGGCATGGTGGCACGTGCCTGTAATCCCAGCTACTAGGGAAGCTGAGGCAGGAGAATCACTTGAATCTGGGAAGCAGACATTGCAGTGAGCTGAGATCGTGCCACTGCACTCCAGCCTGGGCAACAGAGCAAGACTCCGTCTCAAAAAATAATAATAGTAAATAAATAAACAGAATGAATAATTTTGTTGTATTCCAAATTAGGCTAGAGAGATGTTAGAGGTAAACAGAAAGGGAAAATGTGGCTTTCAGAAGGAAAAGAGAGGGTAAGAGAGGTGAGAAGAGGTAGAGAGGGCCCAAGAAAGGAAGGAAGGGTATGAAGACACAGGAAAGGAGTTTGCAAATGAGTGTGGGTGAAGCCACTAGCACAGCTGCTCATCAAGAGCTGGAGTGTCGGTTTTGTACCCAGGCAGCAGCTGTCACAAGGTTATGGAGGCTGCTGTGGCCCCAGCCAGCTCCCAGCACTGATTACACCTCCTGCCGAGCTCTCCAGCTGCAGTCAGGAGAGCCCCAGGCAGCTGCACCTGGTCTCCTTGTGGAACACGTTGTCACTTGAAGGGTTCCTAGCCAGGGGTTCCAGCTCTAAAACTGAGGAGACCTGGAATTGAAACCGGATGCCAGCCTTGATCTCCACGTCTGTTATTTAACCTCTCTAAGCTTCTGTACTCTCACCCGTAAAATGGGCATAGTAAGAATATGTACTTCATGGGGTGTTGGACAGGTAAACTGAGGCGAATGCATCTGAGTCATAATGGGTGATGTGTATTGAATGCAAGCTGCCTGCCAAGCCTTGGGCTAACTGGCTAACATGTTTTACCACATTCCATCCTTACAACAGCCCTGGGAGGTGGACATTACTATTGGCCTCATTTTAAAAAGTGAAATTCAGGATGGCGAAGTCCCTTGTGCAGGTGGCCCAGCTGGTAATGGTGAAGTCAGGCCAAGCCCCTCTGGCTGCAGAGCCCACATGCTGTGCCGCCCTCAGCATCATGCCTGATACTAACCCTACAAAATGTGGCTAATCAAGGCCTGCCTCAGAGGGTTCTTGCAAGAATGATGTAAGACAATTCACATGAAAGTGCAATTATGCTGGGTGCAGTGGCTCATGCTTGTAACCCCAACACTTTCGGAGGCTGAGGAGGGCAGATGACCTGAGGTCAGGAGTTCGAGACCAGCCTGGCCAACATGGTGAAACCCTGTCTGTACTAAAAATACAAAAATTAGCCAAGCGTGCTGGTACATGCCTGTAATCCCAGCTACTGGGAGGCTGAGGCAGGAGGATCACTTAAACCCGGGAGGCGGAGGTTTCAGTGAGCCGAGATCACTCCACCGTACTCCAGCCTGGGTAACAGAGTGAGACTCCGTCTCAAAACAAACAAACAAACAAACACGACTGGGCATGGTGGCTCACGCCTGTAATCCCAGCACTTTGGGAGGCCAAGGCAGGTGGATTACCTGAGCTCAGAGTTCGAGATCAGCCTGGCCAACATGGTGAAACCTAGTCTCTACTAAAAACACAAAAATTAGCTGGATGTGGTGACACGTGTCTGTAGTCCCAGCTACTCAGGAGGCTGAGGCAGGAGAATCGCTTGAACCCGTGAGGTAGAAGTTGCAGTGAGCTGAGATCGTGCCACTGCACTCCAGCCAGGGCAACAGAGTGAGACTCCATCTCAAAAAAAAAAAAAAAAAAAGTGCAGTTATCCACCAGGCCCTAAAAAATGGTTGTTGATGCATGAACGAATGTCGAAGACCTCATCAAGTACTTGTTCTATTCTTCAGCCTCTTTTCTCTAATCATTAGTTCAGTAGAGGCTTTTCTCTGATGGGATAACCACGGTGAAAAAAACCTTAATCCTGCTCCATACTAATGTCAGGTTTAACAAACAAATTACAAGTGAGTTGGCCTTTGTGTTCTGACCTTGTTTATATTAGAGCAACATTGAACTTACTGTATTTTTTTGTGATCAAACAATGGGGATGCAGATTATTAATGCCACCATCTAGGACAAGCCCTCCCTGCTCCTGCTTCCTCCAGTATGGCACTGAACTTCTCCATCATGACAAGGACAACACAGGAGCCAAAGACTGCCCTAAAAAACAGAGCTGGGAGCCTCCTCACCCTCCTTGCCTTTGATAAAACCTCTTGAAGGACTGGTTGTCATGGCATGCTTTTCGCAGTTGTTTTCCTCCTTTTGTGATTGACTTCCCTTTAAAAATTTATAAAATAATAACCCTGTGTCGTTATCCTCCATTGCAATGAAGAAGACACATAGAAAAAAGTAAGATCATGTATCTACAAGCACTTTGCAACATTTTTTTTTTCTGGAGACCGATTTTCGCTCTTGTCACCCAGGCTGGAGTGCAGTGGCGTCATCTTGGCTCACTGCAACCTCTGCCTCCCAGATTCAAGTGATTCTCCTGCCTCACCCTCCTGAGTAGCTGTGGTTGCAGGCGTGCGCCACCACGCCCGGCTAATTTTGCATTTTCAGTAGAGACGGGGGTTTCTCCATGTTGGTCAGGCTGGTCTCGAACTCCCGACCTCAGGTGATCCACCCGCCTCAACCTCCCAAAATGCTGGGATTACAGGCGTGAGCCATTGTGCCCGGCCAGTTTTTGTATATTATTAGAGATGGGGTCTCCCCACGTTGCCCAGGCTGGTCTCAAACTCCTGGGCTCAAGTGATCTGCCTGTCTCGACTTCCCAAAGTGTTGGGATTACAGGTATGAGCCACTGCGCCCAGCCTCCCTATAGTCTAATTTTTGTATCACAGAGTACTACATCTCCTTTCAGCTTTTCATTTCCAGGATAAACTAATCCCCCCGTTTTTTGTTTGTTTGTTTGTTTTTTGTTTTTTTAAGGCCAAGTCTTTCAGTGTGTTGTTATGACCAGTTGTAATTTCCACTCCTATGTGTTCAGGATCGATGTAAAGAAGTTAAAAGCTTTTTCCTGGCCAGATGCGGTGGCTCACGCCTGTAATCCCAGCACTTTGGGAGGCCAAGGCAGGTGGATCACAAGATCAGGAGATCCAGACCATCCTGGCTAACACAGTGAAACCCTGTCTCTACTAAAAAATAGAAAAAATCAGCCGGACGCGGTGGCAGGTGCCTGTAGTCCCAGCTACTCGGGAGGCTGAGGCAGGAGAATGGTGTGAACCCGGGAGGCGGAGCTTGCCGTGAGCCAAGATCGTGCAACTGCACTCCAGCCTGGGCGACAGAGCGAGACTCTGTCTCAAAAAAAAAAAAAACAAAAAACAAAACTTTTTCCTACTCTTCATTATCTCTTTCCCAGAGGTGAATTTTAACTTGTTACAGCAACAATTCTGCAAGTAATGTCCACATGCTGATTTCCCTTCACACATTGATGCCAATTGACGGGACCATAACAAGCCATTGTCCTCTTTGTGACTGTTGACCTTTTTCATAGGCTGCATGGAAAGCAGGGAGAATTACTGTGCTCAGGTAGACAGGAGTTCTAGTCTGGCTCTTTCTGTCGTACCTGTGTGGTGGTGTGCCTCTTTCGCCTGTAAAGTGGAGATAAAAATGCCACTTCGGGGTTTTATTTATTTATTTATTTATTTGAGATGGAGTCTCGCTCTGTCACCCAGGCTGGAGTGCAGTGGGGTGATCTCGGCTCACTGCTACCTCCGCCTCCCAGGTTCAAGTGATTCTCTGCCTCAGCCTCCCAAGTAGTTGCGATTACAGGCACACGCAATCACACCCAGCTAATTTTTGTATTTTTAGTAGAGATGGGATTTTACCGTATTGGTCAGGCTGGTCTCGAACTCCTGACCTCAGGTGATCCATCTGCCTTGGCCTCCCAAAGTGCTGAGATTACAGGTGTGAGCCAGTGGACCCGGCCTACTTTGGGGTTTTAGAGTGGAGGAAATGAGATGATATCTATAGATGTTAGCTCCTGCCTTTCCATTTTCTTTTTTGTAAACTCTTTGACAGGGTCCCCAACTCCCAGGCCATGGACGGGTGCTGGTCTGTGGCCTGTTAGGAACCAGGCTGCACAGCAGGAGGTGAGCAGCAGTGAGTGAGCATTACCGCCTAAGCTCTGCCTCCTGTCCGATTAGCGCGGCATTAGATTCCCATAGGAGCATGAACTCTATTGTGAACTGCATGTGAGCGGGATCTAGGTGGCCTGCTTTTTATGAGAAGAATCTAACGCCTGATGATGTGATCTGAAATGGAAGCATTTCATCCTGACGATATTGCCTCTTACCTGGGCAGCAGAGTGAGACCCCAATTCAAAAAAAAGGAAGAAAAAAGAAAAAATTTACACTATAGGGAGTTGCTGATATTTTTAATCAAATGATATTTCAAAGCAAATGAATCCCGTCCCCATGGAAAAATTGTCTTCCATGAAACTGGTCCCTGGTGCCAAAAAGACTGGGGACTGAAATGAGAATTTTATCTTTCTTCTTTTTCCTTTCCCTTCCTACCTTTTTTTTCCCTCCCGCTTCTCCTCTTTGTCCTTCTTACCAAGGCCCTTTGAAGCCACAGGAACCCAGCACACTCTATGCCTTCCCTCAACAACAAGCCACATCCCGCCCCCGCCCCCCATCTCATCAGCTGTCTTTTCCAGTCTCCTGTCTTAGGCGGGCAATTGGCAATGGGTGGTGTGTCAGCTTGTCAGCGGGTACACTGGAATCTATATACGTACCTATGCTCCTGTTACCAGCACCTCAACTTTGATTCTCTAGTTTAATAATATTTTCAATTTCTCATCGGCTAGCCTCACTTTTTTTTTTTTTTTTTTTTTTGAGATGGAGTCTCAATCTGTTGTCCAGGCTGGAGTGCAGTGGCGCGATCTCGGCTCACTGCAAGCTCCGCCTCCCGGGTTCACACCATTCTCCTGCCTCAGCCTCCAGAGTAGCTGGGACTACAGGCGCCTGCCACCACGCCTGGCTAATTTTTTTGTATTTTTTTTTTAGTAGAGACGGGGTTTCACCGTGTTAGCCAGGATGGTCTTGATCTCCTGACCTCGTGATCCGCCTGCTTCGGCCTCCCAAAGTGCTGGGATTACAGGCGTGAGCCACCAGGCCTGGCCTTTTTTTTTTTTTTTCCAGAATGGAGTCTTGCTCTGTCGCCCAGGCTGGAGTCCAGTGGTGCAATCTTGGCTCACTGCAAACTCCGCCTCCCGGGTTCAAGTGATTCTCCTGCCTCAGCCTCCCAAACTCCACCTCCCGGGTTCAAGTGATTCTCCTGCCTCAGCCTCCCAAGTAGCTGGAATTACACGCATGCACCACCACACTGGACTAATTTTTGTATTTTTAATAGAGATAGGGTTTCACCATGTTGGCCAGGCTGGTGTCAAACTCCTGAATGAAAGTGATCCACCTGCCTCGGCCTCCCAAAGTGCTGGTATTACAGGAGCGAGCCACCGCGCCCAGCCTAGCCTCACTTCTTTCCAGCAAGTCTGTGGGATTCCTTTCATTAAGGAATTTCACAGCAAAGTCCCCTTCACCTGATTGGGACATCTTTGATTGCTCACTATGTTTTCACGGAACCTGGTCCTTTTCATTCCTTCATTCATAGACCTTATTTATACTTCTGCCTTCAATTCTTTGTTTTCATAACGCACCAGCCTTTCTCCAGTAGTACCTGGTACTTCACTGAACATCAAACTAATTCCTGTGAATTTCAACAACAAAAACAGACCCTTTCTTCAAATTTCCCTCATTCTTTCCTCAACCTCTCCCCTTACTCCTGCTTTGTACTTTGTATCTAACAGTGGCTGTACCTTTTGGAACAGTTCTGAACTGTTTTATGCTATGCAGTGCAGAGAATGCACTTTCTTATAGTCTGAAGTTGCTGGCAGAGCAAAAAGAAACAAGAAACAAAAGCAGCAATTCAGGAACTTCATTTAGTGAGATACACTTCCTCTTGGTAGTTTGCCAGCTAGTTTCTTTAGTGGGAAATGATATTTTGAAAGTAAATGACTACCAGTCAGAGGGGAGGGGTTGGTAAAGGGAATCAGTATATTAAACCAGATGCCTGTTTCAACTGATGTTGTCATTCATTATTAAACCATAGAAAAGAGATACATTCACTGGTAAATGCAACTTATTATTATTACAACTTTGTTGCCTGTTTTTCATGTAGAGGAGAATTAAAAAAAACTGTGTTTGATGATGAATTGCTGTAGATTACAAAAGCCTCATAAAGTACATTAAAACAAATCTAATCATTTACAAGTGCACAAAATAGATCACATATTAAAACTTTTGTTTTCTTGAGAATTAAAACCTTGAAGTTATCTGTATGTTTCCTTACTTTATATTAAGGGATCTATTTTTTTTTTTTAAACAGAGTCTCGCTCCGTCACCAGGCTGGAGTGCAGTGGCGTGATCTCAGCTCACTGCAACCTCCACCTCCTGGGTTCAAGCGATTCTCCTGCCTTAGCCTCCTGAGTAGCTGGGACTACAGGGGTGCACCACCACACCCAGCTAATTTTTGTATTTTTAGTAGAGATAGGGTTTCACCATGTTGGCCAGGATGGTCTCAATCTCTTGACCTCGTGATCAGCCTGCCTCGGACTTTCAAAGTGCTGGGATTACAGATGTGAGCCACCGCGCCCGGTAATTTTTTTCCTTTTAATGTACTCCTTATGTTGCCCAGGCTGGAGTGCAGTGGCTATTCACAGGTTGGGATCATAGCTCATTTCTGCCAAGAACTCCTGACCCCAAGAGATCCTCATGCCTCAGCCTCCAGAGTAGCTGGGACTACAGGCATGTACCACTGCATATGGCTATTAAGTGGTCTTTAAATCAGGTTTTTTGTTCCTTTTTTGAGATGGAGTCTTGCTCTGTCATTCAGGCTGGAGTGCAGTGGTACGATCTTGGCTCACTGCAACCTCTGTCTCCTGGGTTCAAGCCATTGTCCTGCCTCAGCCTCTTGAGTACCTGAGATTACAGGCGCCTGCCACCACGTCCAACTAATGTTTGTATTTTTAGTAGAGACGAGGTTTCACCATATTGGCCAGGCTGGTCTTGAACTCCTGACCTCAAGTGATTCACCCACTTTGGCCTCCCAAAATGCTGGGATTACAGGCGTGAGCCAAAGCGCACAGCCTAAGGTATCTTTAAATCAATTTAACTATTAAGGTTATGGGTGGATATATATGCATTAAAGGGGCATTTTGCATTTCTCTGAACTTTTTTTCAAATGTATTCCATCCATTTATATAACTTGTTTTTGAGAATTGTCTGGTAGAAATCTTTGCAGTTATCTATTGGGGTTTTTCTTACTGAACATTATGATCTCTTCAGATGTAAAAACTATTAATTCTGTTTCATATTAACAATAAATAGTTCCCCTGGTCTATTGCTTGTCCTTTGAGTTTTGATTTAATTAGCTTATTTTTGGCCCAGAAGATTTATTTTTTTTTCTTTTAAAACATAGCTCCAAACAGCCATTGAAAGATTTACATTTTTTTCTGTTCAGTTCTATCCACTGAGTCATCCATAATTCATTTCATTGCCTTTGAGGCTAGAATAACCTACTTATTGCATCTTTTCAAGAACTATGTAGAGATGGGAGGAAAGTCCACCTTATGTTTATAGCCTGTCAACAGGGGAATTTTCTAAGCATTTATTTGTAGAAGTAGGTTGAGAATTTATTCTATCCTTGGATCTGTCCTATGTCGACTTCAGAAGCATCTTAGACATCCTTCTTAGGATTTTGCCTTATTGATACAACTTCCAAGCAGATGCATACCATTTGGAGTTACCAAGTGCCATTCTCTTTCTCTCTCTACTACTCAGAGTAAAAAATTGCTAAAGATTTTTTTTCTAGCCTCTCAATTAATTCATTGCTAATCCCTTATTCAAACAACTGATCCTGTTCTTTTGACCACCGTTAAGAATGGATCTGGCTGGGTCAGGTGGCTCATGCCTGCAAATCCTAGCAGTTTGGGAGGCCCAGCTAGGAGGAAGACTTGAGCCCAGAAACTTGAGACCCTTTCTCTATGGAAAAAAAAAAAAGAGCGAATCTGACTGTTAGTCAGGGTTCTTTAGAGAAACAGAACCAATAAAATACACCCCCCACCAACACACATATATATATCTGTTTCATATATATTTAAAGCATTGCTTATGTCAATCAATCTACCTAGAGAAGGGAGGTTATCTTAAAAAATTGGTTCACATGATTGTGGGAGCAGGCAAGTTCAAAATGCACAGGGTGGGCCTGCATGTTGGAAACTGAGGCACAATTTCTGTGTTAGTCCTGAAGCAGAATTCTTCCTCTTCCAGGAAACCTCAGTTTTTGCTCTCAAGGCCTTCAACTGATTTGATGAGATATTATTGACTTTACTTAAAGTGAACTGACTGTGAATGTTAATTACATCTACAAAATACCTTCACAGTAACATCTAGACTAGTGTTTGATAAACTATTGGGCACCATAGCCTAGCCAAGTTGAGACATGAAACTAACCTTCACCTAATCATCTCACTGGATTTTCTTTCTCATATTACACATTCAAGAAGGCACCTAGTCTTCTTCTCTTTTAAAGGCCCCTCTCAGCCCATGCTCCCATGACCCTGAAAGCTTCTGCGTATGCCGTCTACTGGGTTTTGTTAAATACATTGTAAGATGCTGACAACATTCGTGGGCAGTCACTGCTGGAACATTTCTGTGGCTAGTTCATTGGCTACAGGAACGCGCTGCTCCAAAAGTTGGATTTCAGTTAATTTCATTCTAGGAATTAGAAATGCATTTTGTAGAGCTTTGACACTATGTTTATGGGAGCATTTCAGATCTAATAGGATCTAAGATAAGAGGAACTGCTGAATACGTACTTAAAAGCACCCATTGTCTGGAGGCATTATGGAGGCCTGAGCTAAAACATCATTTTTGCCCCTTTTTTTAATCTTCGGAGAACAAGGCAGGACCTTGGAAAAGGAGGGCTGGAGGCATTCATGGGCCAGGATGCCACTGAAGCAGAGGAAGAATACCATCAAGCTAGATATGAGAACCTGCAATGACAACTGCCCAGGTACTGGGAGGGTGGGCGGTGGAAGCCATGTGATCAGAGCAATGGGGATGGAACCACTTGGGTAACCACTGCCATGCTGGTAATAAAGTGCAGCTTACACGGAAGTGTGACAGTTGAGTGAAACAAAGCACTCTACTCCACTGGCATTGGTGGTAGCGGGAGGGGACACTCCTGCTTCCAGGTACTTTTCTGGGCAGAAGTAAAGTTGGACGTGCTTTCCTCTCAGCCTATTCAATAAGACAGGTCAGTTCTTGGGCTCCTAGACACCCACTGTTGTGGGAATGAGAGTAGTCACAATTACCTTTCCTACGTAACGCGTCATCTGAGGTCCACAGAGTGTAGGTCTTTCATTTGGACAATGCATTACAGTTATCTGCTAAGAAAAATGTATTCACAGATGTTTTGGGTTAAACCGTATCCCTGCCACCCTCCCCCTGAAATTCGTATGTTGAAATCCAAACTCCCAGTGACCTCAGAATGTGACCTTCTTTGGAAATATTTGGAAACTGCAAATGTGGTTAGTTAAGATGAGGTCATACTGGAGTAGGGTGGGCACCTACTCCGACATAACTGGGGTCCTTATCAAAAGTGGAAATTCAGACATAAACACTGCTCACAGAGATAATGCTTTGTAAAGAGGAAGGCGGAGATAGGGGTGACGCTTCTACAAATCAAGGAACACCAAAGATAGCAAACCACCAGAGGCAGCCAGGCACAGTTGCTCGGGCCTGTAATCCCAGCACTTTGGGAGGCCAAGGCAGGCAGATCACCTGAGCTCAGAAGTTCGAGACCAGGCTGGCCAACATGGTGATAACCCATCCCTACTAAAAATACAAAAATCAGCCCGGCGTGGTGGTGGGAGCCTGTAATCCCAGCTACTCCGGAGGCTGAGGCAGGAGACTAGCTTGAACCGGGGAGGTACAGGTTGCAGTGAGCTGAGATCGCACCACTGCACTCCAGTCTGGGTGACAGAGTGAGACTGTCTCAAAAAAAAAAAAAAAAAAACCACCAGAAGCTAGGGGAAGAGGCATGCAAACGACTCTTCCTCACAGCCTCAGAAGGAACCAACCCTGCCTACACCTTAGTCACAGACTTCTGATCTTCAGAACTTCAAGACAATACATTTCCCTTGTTAAACCACTGCCTGTGGTACACTGTTACAATTACCCTAGGAAACTAATATGACATGAAAGCGTGTCCGGAATTTGTTCCTTCCAGTGGGTTCTTGCTTACTTCAAGAATGAAGCCGTGGACCCTCGCGGTGTTACAGTACTTAAAGATGGTGTGTCCACGGCCGGGCGCGGTGGCTCATGCCTGTAATCCCAGCACTTTGGGAGGTCGAGGTGGGTGATCACAAGGTCAGAAGTTCGAGACCAGCCTGGCCAATATGGTGAAACCCTGTCTCTACTAAAAATACAAAAAAATTAGCCGGGCATGGTGGTACATGCCTGTAATTCCAGCTACTCAGGAGGCTGAAGCAGGAGAATTGCTTGAGTCCCAGAGGCAGAGGTTGCAGTGATCTGAGATCACGCCACTGCACCACAGCCTGGGTGACAGAGTGAGACTCCGCCTCAAAAAAAAAAAAAAAAATGGTGTGTCCGGAATTTGTTCCTTCAGATGTGTCCAGAATTTCTTCCTTCTGGTGAGTTCATGGTCTTCCTGACTTTAGGAGTGAAGCCGCAGACCTTCCCAATAAGTGTTAAGGCTCTTAGAGGTGGCACGTCTGGAGTTGTTAGTTCCTCCCGGTGGGTTCATGGTCTGGCTAACTTCAGGAGTGAAGCTGCAGACCTCCACAGTGAGTATCACAGCTCATAAAGGTAGTGCAGACCCAAACACTGAACAGTGTTAAGATTTACTGTGAAGAAGGAAAAAACCAACCTTCCACAGCCTGCACAGGCATCCAGGCCGATGCCGCTGTTGGCCCGTGTGGCCAGCTTTTATTCCCTTATTTGGCCCTGCCCACATCCTGCTGATTGGTCCATTTTACAGAGAGCTGATTGGTCCATTTTACAGAGTGCTGATTGGTGCATTTTTACAGAGTGCTGATTGGTGCATTTACAAATCTTTAGCTAGACACAGAGTGCTGATTGGTGTGTTTACAATCCTCTAGCTACATAGAAAAGTTCTCCAAGTCCTTCCTCCACCCAGGAAGTCCAGCTGGCTTCACCTCTCAGAAGCGTATATTAGCTTTTTTTTTCAAACTAAGGAAAAGGTTTTGGAAATTGATTCAACTTCTGATTTTTAAGTAATAATTTTTTTTTCGCTTTGCTAATGAATAAACAGAAGTTTTTATGTAGTTATCATGTAAAGAAACAACAGGTTCCTTAATGAGATGGTTTGAAGATGCATTTTTTTTTTTTTTTTTTTTTTTTTGAGATGGAGTCTGGCTCTGTCATCCAGGCTGGAGTGCAGTGGTGTGATCTTGGCTTACCGCAAACTCTGCCTCCCGGGTTCAAGCGATTCTCCCGCCTCAGCCTTCCCAGTAGCTGGGACTACAGGCGTGCGCCACCATGCCCGGCTAATTTTTGTATTTTTAGTAGAGAGGAGGTTTCACTATGTTGGCCAGGCTGGTCTCGAACTGCTGACCTCGTGATCCACCCACCTCAGCCTCCCAAAGTGCTGGGATGACAGGCGTGAGCCACCGTGCCTGGCCTGGAAGATGTCTTTTATCTTCCATTTGTCTGTATAACAAGTGAAGGTGATTATATTACCCTTAGAAAGATTGAGAATTGCTGATTTAGAATCACAATCTAGGACTACTCAGAAGTTTCAGAGGCCTTTGTAAAAGAAGCAGTAATCCAACATTCAAATTTCCCCCTAACTCATCCCTAGGCAAAACTACGTTTGTTTGGTCTTTATTTAATTAATTAATTAATTTATTTATTTATTTTTGAGACGGAGTTTCGCTCTTGTTGCCCAGGCTGGAGTACAATGGCGCGATCTCGGCTCACAGCAACCTCTGCCTCCCGTGTTCGAGCCATTCTCCTGCCTCAGCCTCCTGAGTAGCTGGGATTACAGGCATGCGCCACCACGCCCGGCTAATTTTGTATTTTTAGTAGAGATGGGATTTCTCCATGTTGGTGCAGCTGGTCTCAAACTCCGGATCTCAGGTGATCTGCCCGCCTTGGCATCCCAAAGTGTTGGGATTACAGGCGTGAGCCACGGCGCCCGGCCTGTTTGGTCTTTATTTTCATGAGCATTTTCTCTATAAAAGCTATTTTTAAAAGTTATAATTTCATTTGAATGAGCTGGAGAGGTTTGTTTTAATAAAGTTTTAAAGAAATATGCTGGAATTTAACAGATTGGAAGAATAATTGTCTTTCCAAATGTTTAGCCCCACCATCAGGAGTTGTCCAGAACCTTTTTCCTAGCTCTCTGGATAGAGAAACATTTTAAAAAATGTGCCACTTCACAGAATACAAAAGACAGCCAACTCAAAGGAAGAGTTTCATGGTGAAATCCAATCATGGAAGGATTAAAGTATCAGAGTAAAGATTGAAGCCCTGCTGGGTGCGGTGGTACATACCTTTAGTCTGGGCTACTTGAGGGCTGAGGCAGGGGGATCATTTGAGCCCAGCAGTTTGAATCCAGCGTGGGCAACACAGTGAGACCTATCTCTACTTTTTTTTTTTTTTTAAATGAAGTCCTGTTGTGTGGATTTTTTTTTTTTTTTTGCTTTTGAAACAGCCAATGGTCAATCATAAATAGTAAATCATAGGTATAAAAATGCTTTAACCAAAGGTAATTTGTTCTTTTCCTTTAAAAAAAAAAAAAACGGCTAGACGCGGTGGCTCATGCTTGTAAACCCAGCACTTTGGGAGGCCGAGGCGGGCGGATCATGAGGTCAGGAGATCGAGACCATCCTGGCTAACACGGTGAAGCCCCGTCTCTACTAAAAATACAAAAAATTAGCCGGGCGTGGTGGCGGGCGCCTGTAGTCCCAGCTACTCGGGAGGCTGAGGCAGGAGAATGGCATGGATCCGGGAGGTGGAGATTGCAATGAGCCAAGATCACACTACTGCACTCCAGCCTGGGTGACAGAGCAAGACTCCATCTCAAAAAAAATACAAAACAAAAAAAGCTTTATTATTATTATTATTATTTGTTTTTTTTGAGATGGAGTTTCGCTCTGTCCCCCAGGCTGGAGTGCAGTGGCGCAATCTCGGCTCACTGCAAGCTCTGCCTCCTGGGTTCACGCCATTCTCCTGCCTCAGCCTCCCGAGTAGCTGGGACTACAGGCGGCAGCCACCACACCTGGCTAATTTTTTTTGTATTTTTAGTAGAGGCGGGGTTTCACTGTGTTAGCCAGGTTGGTCTCTATCTCCTGACCTCATGATCCACCCGCCTCGGCCTCCCAAAGTGCTGGGATTACAGGCGTGAGCCACCGTGCCCGACCTATTATTATTATTTTTTTATCGACATGAGGTTTCGCCATGTTGCCCAGGCTGGTCTCAAATTCCTGGGCTCAAGTGATCTGCCTGCCTCGGCCTCCCAAATCACTGGGATTTCTAGCTTGAGCCACCAAGCCTGGGCACCAAAGGTAAGTTGAATCATTCAAAGCTACTTTGGAAATTTCCTATCCTGCTATCTTTTAAAATACAAGGAAGGAATTTTGGTGACTAGTTTGAAAGCTAGTTTGATACCAGAAACAGGAAGTCACTTCAGTTTGGATATTTATGATCTTAAAATAGAATAACATTACTGACAATCTTACAGAAAGGGGACGAGGAAAAATATTTGTAGAGCTTTTCAAAGCGGGTGTATACCTTTAGAAATTTTTTATTACCTAATTAGATAAACTACATACTGCTTTTAGTGAATTTTTTACAAAAAATTTCCATTTACAACAAATATTTTCTTTGCATAATAATTGCATTTCAAGCTCCCCGGGCAGCTCAGCCAACGGAGCCCCTGCCTCCCGTGGAGCTCCCGCAGCCCTCTTCTCTGGTCTATGTGCTCCACAGGAACAATCTCCATGTGCTCCGTTGAAGCAGTACCAGCAAGACACCGACAACTTGCCTTCCGGTTGTCTTATAAAAAGCCCCTCTTCCGCAGAGAGGAATCACTTCCACCCTGATTTTGTTTTGAATCAACCCTCTTGTCTTAACTCGGCTTCATCTCTCTCAAAGCTAAACTGCAGAAACATCACCTGGGTTCCACCATTCCACCTCTGTTCTTTGCTCTCTTTCCCTCTCCCTCCCATAATGATCACACCGCTGCACTCCACCTGGACAGCAGAGCAAGACTCTGTCTCAAAACAAAAACAAAAACAAAAACAAAAACAAAAAACCAAGCGGATACGCAGTGGCACAACAGTGTGAATGTACTTCATGCCACTGAAGTGTACACTTAAAAATGGTGAAGATGGTAAATTTTATGTTGTGTGTATTTTACCACAATTAGTGAAAAAAGCAGATACGGTTTCATACAAAGCAGTTGTGGCACATATGTCTTCTAGTGTCACAGATGGACCTTCCTCATATGTCTACGTCACCTTGGGGGGAAATGCTCTATTTGGTTTGCTTGATTTGACCCTCTGTGTTGATCCTGGGAAAATTATCTCCCTAGAGAGTCCAGTTGCCACTTGAAGAATGATCAGGAAGGCCAGTCACCATTTGTATATGCCTGGTTCATAGAATGCACTCATGCTCACAAAATAGCACTGCAAATGTCCAATTGTCCAGTTACACAGGAGAGCTAAATTCCCCCAAATTTAAGGCTTTGGAATGACCCTAGGTTCTTCCTAGTCATGAAAGTGTGGTCTCCTTCCAGAACCTAAGAGATCTACCTCCATCCTTAGCTCTGTTGCCCAGGCCGAAGTGCAGTAGCACAATCATGGCTCACTGCAGCCTCGAACTCCTGGGCTCAAGATCCTCCCACCTCAGCCTCCTGAGTAGCCGGAACTACAGACACAGGCCACCACGCCTGGCTACTTTCCTTATTTTTTGAGGAAATGTGGTCTCCCTATGTTGTCAAGGCTGGTCTTGAACTCCTGGGCTCAAGCAATATGCCTGCCTTAACCTCCCAAAATGCTGGGATTACAGGCATGAGCCACCGCACCCAGCCTTGGGCTGTTTTTGTTGTTGTTGTTGTTTTCAGCTTTATTGAGATATAACTGACAAATATATAATCTAAAGTGTACAACATGATGATTTGATAGACATACACATTGTGAAATGATTACCATGATCAAGTTAGTTAGCACATCCATTAACCCACGTCGTTCCTTTTTTTTTTTCTTCACTCTCCCAGGCTTAGGACATTAGTCCTCTTGATTCTTCATCAAGGGAAAGAGGGGCTGCTCAGCCACACACCAACACTTCTATTCTTCCTCCTCTGGTTTTTAAAAACCTACCCCTGCTCTTGGAAACCAAGACCCAACAGGACTTTCTCATCTCCAGACCTCTCTTCTGCTTCCTTTTTGGAGGCCATGGTTTTTTGTTTTTGTTGTTTGTTGTTATTGTTGTTTTGTTTTTGAGACAGAGTCTCACTCTGCCGCCAGGCTGGAGTACAGTGGCGCAATCTCTGCTCACTGCAACCTCCACCTCCTGGGTTCAAGCAATTCTCCTGCCTCAGCCTTTTGAGTAGCTGGGACTATTGGCATGCACCACCACACCCAGCTAATTTTTGTATTTTTAGTAGAGACATGGTTTCACCATGTTGGCCAGGATGCTCTTGATCTCCTGACCTCGTGATCTGCCCACCTCGGCCTCCGAAAGTAATGGGATTACAGGCATGAGCCACCGTGCCTGGCCAGCCACAGTATTTTTTGTTTTGTTTTGTTTTGTTTTGAGACAGAGTCTCGCTCTGTCGCCCAGGCTGGAGTGCAGTGGCGCGATCTCGGCTCACTGCAAGCTCCGCCTCCCGGGTTCACACAATTCTCCTGCCTCAGCCTCCCGAGTAGCTGGGACTACAGGCGCCCACCACCATGCCCAGCTAATTTTGTTTTTGTATTTTTAGTAGAGACGGGGTTTCACTGTGTTAGCCAGGATGGTCTCGATCTGCTGACCTCGTGATCCGCCCACCTCGGCCTCCCAAAGTGCTGGGATTACAGGTGTGAGCCACCGCGCCCGGCCCAGCCACAGTATTTTTATTCAGCCATGGAACCAGTTTGCAAGAACGGTTCCCATGGTCAGTACCTGTAACATTTACAACTAAAGATTTGAACAAACTGAACAGGGAGGTTGAGAAGAAAGAAGAGTTAAAGTGCTACTTAAAGGAACTTTCTTTCCTATGCTTTATTTTATATAATATTAATAGTTAGGTATAAAGTTAACTGTGCTAAAGCAATTCCTTTTCTCCTTATTATTTATGTGCATAAACAGACTACACTGGAGGCTCTTGGTGAAGAGGGGGTTAAAATTACAGCCCTGCTAAATTTCTATATAGCAGTAAAACTTAGCTGTAATTCCTACCTAACATTGCAGTTTTTCCTTCCAAACTGCAGGCCTCTTTCTTGTTTTCTTACTGAGCAACTTCCCTGCAGTCCTGCCTACCAAGGACACAGGAAAATACTAGCTCCTAGAATTCTGCCCTTCTTTTTCATAGTTTCAAACACTGTCTAACATAGCTGGCCGGTGCCATCAGCTTCAGCCTTAAATGTGATTAAATCACATATAATGTTTTCTGACCTTCAAGACCTGCAGCCTCAGGCTACAGGTTAGGTACTGATTTCCCTACTTTTATAGTTCTGTTAATTTTTAAATGCTGTGTACTGAGCTCAGTACGAAACATAGTTTGTCTGTCAAAAGCAAAGCTAGTTGTCTTTTATGTATTATGTAGTTTGTTAGTTTTTGTTTTAATAGGAGTTTATTAGCTAACTTGAGGGTCATGGCAGGGTACCTATTTTCTTCCTTCTCTATGTCTTGGGCTTTCTTCTTTTATTGGTGAGTAAAATGAAAAGGAAAAAAATGGTCAGGGGTGGTGGCTCACGCCTGTAATGCCAGCACTTCGGAAGGCCGAGGCAGGCAGATTGCCTGAGCTCAGGAATTGGAGACCAGCCTGGGCAACATGGTGAAACCTCATCTCTACTGAAATACAAAAAAAATAGCCGGGCGTGGTGGCACGCGCCTATAGTCCCCGCTCCCCCAGAGGCAAAGGTTGCAGTGAGCCGAGATCGTGCCACTGCACTCCAGCCTGTGCACCAGAACAAGACCCCGTCTCCAAAAAAAGAAAACGAAAAAGAGTCTAACAAATCTGTGAGTCACGTTATTGGTTAAGATAGCAGATGAAGCACTTAGTGGGAGAGATGGGACAATAATTTTTTTTTTTTTTTGAGACGGAGTTTTGCTCTTGTTGCCCAGACTGGAGTGCAATGGCAGAATGTCGGCTCACTGCAACCTCTCCCACGCTGGTTCAAGTGATTCTCCTGCCTCAGCCTCCTGAGTAGCTGGGGTTACAGGCACGTGCCACCACACCTGGCTAGTTTTTGTATTTTTAGTAGAGATGGGGTTTCACCATGTTGGCCAGGCTGGTCTCAAACTCCGGACCTCAGGTGATCCACCCGCCTCGGCCTCCCAAAGTGCTGGGATTACAGGCATGAGTCACCGCGCCCGGCCAACACATTAACTTTAAAAAGTTGACTTTTTGAAAGTATGGTATAGGGAGACTGATTGCAGCCCCGCTACTCCCTGCAGATCATCTGCCTCTTCTCACCCAGGTCCTCACAGCTTCTCTAAGAAACTCCACTAGAGAATGTCCTAGGGAACCCATCCTGATCTTTCTACTTCTGGACCCCACAGTGACCTTATTAGTGAGCCTCCAATTTCGATACTGAATCACATTCTGCTTTGTACTAGCCACAGTCATTTAGTAAATGCCAATCTTGCTACCTTATCTAGATGGCAGATTCTCTAGGGCAAGGTTCTTGTCACCTACTTGTGTTGTATTCTCAGTGCTTCTGCACAGTTGGGGCTGCCTTTGTGGCCTGGAAAGGAAAGCAGCCAGGCTGAGGGGTCAAAGAACACCAAAGCAAAAGGATAGAGTACCTGCCCTCAAAGTGCTCAGAGTCTAGTTGGGCGGATAAGTGTGATAGTATATCACTGGTTGTAAGCAACAGAAACCTGCTATGGTTGGAAACCAAAAAAGGGATTTATTGAAAGAATATCGCCAGGCATGGTGGCTCACGCCTGTAATCCCAGCACTTTAGGAGGCCGAGGTGGGTGGATCACGAGGTCAGGAGATCAAGACCATCCTCGCTAACACGGTGAAACCCTGTCTCTACTAAAAAAATACAAAAAAATTAGCCAGGCATGGTGGCGGGTGCCTGTAGTCCCAGCTACTCGGGAGGCTGAGGCAGGAGAATGGCATGAACCCAGGAGGCTGAGCTTGCAGTGAGCTGAGATAGCGCCACTGCACTCCAGCCTGGGCGACAGAGCGAGACTCTGCCAAACAAAAAAAACAAAAAACAAAAAACCAGCCTGACCAACATGGAGAAACCCCATCTCTACTAAAAATGCAAAATTAGCAGGACGTGGTGGTGCATGCTTGTAATCACAGCTACTCCGGAGGCTGAGGCAGGAGAATCGCTTGAACCCGGGAGGCGGAGGTTGCCGTGAGCCGAGATCGCACCATCGCACACCAGCCTGGGTGACAAGATGGAAACTCCATCTCAAAAAAGAAAGAAAAATAAAAAGGCCGGGCGCGGTGGCTCACGTAATCTCAGCACTTTGGGAGGCCGAGGCGGGCGGATCACAAGGTCAGGAGACCAAGACCATCCTGGCTAACAGGATGAAACCCCGTCTCTACTAAAAATACAAAAAATTACCCGGGCGTGGTGGCGGGCGCCTGTAGTCCCAGCTATTCGGGAGGCTGAGGCAGGGGAATGGCGTGAACCCGGGAGGTGGAGCTTTCAGTGTGCGGAGATTGCACCACTGCACTCCAGCCTGGGCGACAGAGCGAGACTCTGTCTCAAAAAAAAAAAAGGAAAACAGAAAAAAATAAAGAAAGAAGGAAAGAAAGAATATGTAGGAATGCACCTGATCCAAGGGAAGCCTGAAGGTCCAGACTCTAAAAAGACAAGAATGTGGAGGTGCTGGGAGTCTGGAGCTCCATTTCCTCAGAACATTGTTTCTGGGATGAATTAATTACAGCTCTTTTCAATCATTTAGATATCTGCTCAGCATTCAACTGGGGTGAGGTAGGGGATTAAAGAGATGTTGGTCGAAGGATAGAAAATTTCAGTTAGACAGAGGGACTAATTCTCGAAGATTTATTGTACAACAGGGTGACTATAATTAATATCAACGTATTGTATACTTGAAAGTTGCTAAAAGAGTAAATTTTAAATGTTCTCACCACATAAATATAAATATGTGAAGTGATGAATATGGTAATTAGCTTGGTTTAGCAATCTCACAGTGTATACCTATAACAAAACATCATGTACACCATAAATATATAGAATTTTTTTGTTTTTTTGAAACAGAGTCTGGCTCCGTCACCCAGGCTGGAGTGCAATGGCATGAGCTCGGCTCACTGCAACCTCCACCTCCCAGGTTCAAGTGATTCTTCTGCCTCAGCCTCCCGAGTAGCTGGGACTACAGGCACGCCACCACACCCCCACTAATTTTCTTAGTAGAGACAGGGTTTCACCATATTGGCCAGGCTGGTCTCGAACTCATGACCTTGTGATCCGCCGGCCTCGGCCTCCTAAACTGCTGGGATTGCAGGCATGAGCCACTGCACCCCGCCCATAAATATACAGAATTTTTTGTCAATGAAAAAAATTCAACAGAAAGAGAATTCCACTTCCACTATAGCAGAGTAAGAGCCTAACAGACTGTCCCCCCACCAAGATCACTATAGATGATGGGCAAAATGCAAAAGAAACCAACCAGTGTTTCTGGAGAGTTAACAAATTAGTCAGATTTTGGAGAGGAGTTGAAACTTAAAGGAACTGATTCAAGGTGGGTTTCCCTTTTTGTGTGTGATTTTGGCCAGAAGAAAGACTGTCATTTTGTGGAATAGGGTAGTTGTAACTTCAGTGGAAAGCCTACCAACTTTTTGGGCCAAGGAACCAGGGGACAAATCCCAGGGCCACCATGGCCATCAGAAAATGAAGGGGGAATCTCAGACCGGAAGGAGTTAGAAAAAGGGAGCTCCAAAATCTATGTACACTTAGCCCAAGTCTTAGGCTGACTCTTGAACCATACTCAAGTGAAACAGATTCAAAGCAACTTGCATTTATGGCTAAAAGAACAGAAGTGAGACTTGAACTACTGCCCACTGTGGGCAAGTCGGAATTTGCAGTTTGAATATCTCCAAGGTAAGTGCCAGCTAAAACAAAATGAACAGTAATCTCTGGGGAGGTAAAACCAGGGTCTCCACAAAATAACATCATAAATTCCGAGATACAATAACAATCACTCAATATATGAAGAACCAGGAAAATGCAATCCATTCTCACCGAAAAAGTCATCAATAGAGAACAATTCTGAGTGACTCCACATGTTGGAATTTT
Source organism: Homo sapiens (assembly GCF_000001405.40). Taxonomy (NCBI): domain Eukaryota; kingdom Metazoa; phylum Chordata; class Mammalia; order Primates; family Hominidae; genus Homo; species Homo sapiens. The sequence goes on from NC_000015.10 coordinate 92,859,915, forward strand.
CAGACAAGAGCCTTATAGCAGCCCATGTAACCATGTTCCATTAAGTAAAGGAAACCATATTTGGAATGAATGAACACATAGAAAATCTCATCAGAGACGTATGAAAAAGAGCTGGAAGAAATTTTATAATTGAAAATGTTTCTACACTACAGCCTGGGTGACAGAGTGAGATTCTATCTCAAAAAAATTTAAATAAATAAATGAAAAATTCACTGAATGGGGTTAATAGTAGGATGAAGATGACAGAGTCAGGTAACTTGAAGATATAACAATAGAGTATGCAATCTGAATAATAAAGACCAAAAAATAAAAAAGGAAACTGTAGGACAGTATCAATAAGTCTAAATACAGGTAATTGGAGTCCCAAAAGGAAGGAAATTTTTTATTTTATTTTCATTTTTTGAGACAGAGTTTTACTGTGTCACCCAGGTTGGTATGAGGAAGGAAATGTTTTAAAGAGGGTAGAAAAAAATATTTGAACAAACAACGGCTTCTCAAATTTGGTAAAAGATATACAGTTGGCTAGGCATGGTGGCTCACATCTGTAATCCCATCACTTTGGGAGGCTGAGGTGGGAGGATTGCTTGTGTTTGGGAGTTCGAGACCAGGCCAGGCAACATAGCAAGATTCCTCCATCTCTACAAAAAACTTAAGAATTTAGCTGGTGTGGCCAAGCGCGGTGGCTCACGCCTGTAATCCCAGCACTTTGAGGGGCCAAGGTAGGCAGATAACCTGAGGTCAGGAGTTCAAGACCAGCCTGGCCAACATGGTGAAACTTCATCCCTACTAAGAACACAAAAATTAGCTGGGTGTGGTGGTGCACACCTATTATCCCAGCTACTTAGGAGCCTGAGGCAGGAGATTGCTTGAACCTGAGAGGGGGAGCCTGCAGTGAACCGAGATTGCGCCACTGCACTCCAGCCTGGGCAACACAGCAAGAATCTGTCTCAAAAAAAAAAAAAAAAAAAAAAAAGGAAATGCAGCATGTATGTATGTGTTCAACATATATAGAAAAGAATAGAAAGGCCAAAAGGTACTTAATATTTATCAGTTACCTGAATATTAAATATTTAATACACTAAATATGAATGAGACATAGAAGATGCTAAATATATAAAAGGCACTAAACATTCAGGATAAATGTATCGGAGCTTTATATACATAAGGTCTAATTCAGCCACCAAGAGGTGACACCTATTCCAGCCCCAGATGTCCTCTACATGAAAACACAACATCTGTGTGTTCAGCAGTATCTATAGCTACTGCCTCCTGGGTTCAAGCGATTCTTCTGCCTCAGCCTCCCGAGTAGCTGGGATTACACGCATATGCCACCATGCCTGGCTAATTTTTTGTTGTTGTTGTTTGAGATGGGTTTTTGCTCTTGTTGCCAGGTTGGAGTGCAATGGTGCGATCTTGGCTCACTGCAACCTCCACCTCCCAGGTTCAAGCGGTTCTCCTGCCTAAGCCTCCCAAGTAGCTGGGATTACAGCCACATGCCACCATGCCTGGCTAATTTTGTATTTTTAGTAGAGACAGGGTTTCTCCATGTTGGTCAGGCTGGTCTCGAACTCCTGACGTCAGGTGATCTGCTCGCCTCAGCCTCCTAAAGTGCTGGGATTACAGGGATGAGCCACCGTGCCTGGCCAAAAAACACAAATAACATCTGTGTGTTCAGCAGTAGCTATAGCTACTACCTCCCAGGTTCAAGCAATTCTTCTGCCTCAGCCTCCCAAGTAGCTGGGATTACAGGCATGTGCCACCATGCCCAGCTAGTTTTGGTATTTTTAGTAGAGATGGTTTTTCACCATGTTGGCCTGGCTGGAATGCCACACCTCTTTAAACAACCAGCTCTTGGATGAACTAATAGAGCAAAGACTCACTCATTATTGTGGGGAGGGCACATACCCATTTGTGAGGGATCCTCCCCTATGACCAAAACATCTCCCACTAGGCCTCACCTCCAACATTGAGAATGACATTTTCACATGAGATTTGGAGGGGACAAATATCACAACTACGTCAGCAAAAAATTTCAAGGAAAAGATGAACACTTTAAATGACAAAAGAGTCAATTCATCAGGAAGGTATAACAATAATGTGTATGTGCCTAGTAACACATCCTCAAGACTCATGAAACAAAAATTGACAGAGAAAAGTAGATCATTCCACAATTAGAGTTGTTTTTTTTTGTTGTTGTTGTTCTTGTTGTTTTGTTTTCTGAGATGGAGTCTTGCTCTGTCACCCAGGCTGGAGTGCAGTGGTATGATCTTGGCTCACTGCAACCTCTGCCTCCAGGGTTCAAGCAATTCTCCTGGTTCAGCCTCCTGAGTAGCTGGGACTACAGATGTGCACCACCATGCCCAGCTAATTTTTTGTATGTTTTTAGTAGAGGTGGGGTTTCACCATGTTAGCCAGGCTGGTCTCGAACTCCTGACCTTAGGTGATCCACCCACTTCAGCCTCCCAAAGTGCTGGGATTACAGACGTGAGCCACCACGCCTGGCCTATAGTTGGAGGGTTTTTTTTTTTTTTTGAGATGGAGTCCAGCTCAGTCGCCCAGGCTGGAGTGCAGTGGCACGATCTTGGCTCACTGCAAGCTCCGCCTCCCGGGTTCACGCCATTCTTCTGCCTCAGCCTCCCGAGTAGCTGGGACTACAGGCACCCCCCATCACGCCCGGCTAATTTTTTGTATTTTTAGTAGAGACAGGGTTTCACCATGTTAGCCAGGATGGTCTCGATCTCCTGACCTCATGATCCAACCGTCTTGCCCTCCCAAAGTGCTGATTTTACAGGCAACCACTGCTCCCGGGCAGTTGGAGAGTTTTTTAAACACACTCTCTCAGCAATTAATCAACAAAGACGTAGATGACCTGAATATCATTTTCAACCTCCTTGACCTAATATTTATTTGTAGAACACTGTATCTAACAACTCTATAATATACGTCATTTTCAAGTACACGTGGGTACATTCACCAAGTTAGATATATGCGGGCCACAAAACAGTGTCAATAACTGAAATTATTGAAATAATATAGAATGCATTCTGTGACCGTATGGAATTAAATTAGATATTAGTAACAATAATATATCTTGGAAAACTGCAAATGTTTGGAAATTAAATGACATATTTCTAACTAATTCATAGGTCAGAGAAGGAACCAAAAGTGTGGTTAAAAATATTTCAAACTGAATAATAATAAATACAGCATATAAAAAATATAGGGCTGGGTGTGATGGCTCATATTTATAATCGCAGAACTTTAGGTGGCCAAGATGGGAGTATCACTTGAGTCCAGGAGTTTGAGACCAGCCTGGGCAACATATTGAGACCCTGTCTCTACAAAAAAAAAAAAAAAAAAAAAAAAAATTATAGGATGCATTCAAAGTAGTACTCACAGGGAAATTTATAGCTTTAAGTGATTACATTAAAAAAGAAGAAAGGCCTAAAGCCAGGCACGGTGGCTCACGTCTATAATCCCAGTACTTTGGGAGGCCAAGGTGGGCAGATCACTTGAGGTCAGGAGTTTGAGACCAGTCTTGCCAACATGGCAAAACTCCATCTCTGCTAAAAATTAAAAAATTAGCTGGGCATGGTGGTGCTTGCCTGTAGTCCCAGCTACTTAGGATGCTGAGTCATGAGAATCTCTAGAACCCAGGAGGCAGAAGTTGCAGTGAGCCGAGATCATGCCACTGCACTCCATCTAGCCTGGGTGACAGAGTGAGACTCCATCTCAAAAAAAAAAAAAAAAAAAAAAAGGCTGAATTTTAGCTGGGTGTGGTGGCTCACACCTGTAATCCCAGCACTTTGGGAGGCTGAGGCAGAAGGATCACGAGGTCAGGAGTTTGAGACCAGCCTGGCCAACATAGTGAAACCCTGTCTCTACTAAAGATACAAAAAATTAGGTGGACATGGTGGCAGGTGCCTGTAATCCCAGCTACTTGGGAGGCTGAGGCAGGAGAATCACTTGAATGCGGGAGGCAGAGGCTGCAGTGAGCTGAGATCATGCCACCATGCCACTGCACTCCAGCCCAGGCGACAGTGGGAGACTTCGTCTCAAAAAAAAAAAAAAAAAAAAAAAAGAAAAGAAAATGGAAAGAAGACGAAGAATGGCCTAAAATTAAAATTAATGACTGAAGTTTCTGTCTTAAGAACAATGTCAACCTAAGGAGGTATGTAGAAGGAAGAAAATAATAAGGATGGAGTAGTAATCAATGAAATAGAAAACAAACAAGAGAGACAATTAACAAAGTTAAATTTGGAACCTTGAGAAGATCAACAAAGTTGATAAAGCCCTGGCTAGACTGATCCATAAAATAGATGAGAAAATATAAATGAAAGATGTGTCATCAGTACAGATCCTACAGACATTAAAAGCATAGTAAGATTCAACTGAAAGAAGGGAGAGAGAGGGAGGGATGACTGAGTGGCTAACTTTGATTCATGTGCTGGCATAAAGTGGGGAAATATGACTGTCACTGAACAGTCTCCAAAGAGGCAGGATTTTCCCTATAGCAAATTCAAGTGAATGGATGCTTGAGTGGCCAATGCCTCAAATACCCACTACAGACATGCAAACTGGTAATGACATACACTGAAATAAGGTGAGAATAAAGGTATATACAAAGTGTATGTCTTTGACAACTGTGTTCTTTCACTCTTGAGACAGAGGGTAGGGAAAAAGCTGACCTCACGTTGGAGCAGGCAGTCTTTGTTTTAAAGACAATGTGTGCAGTGAGCTGTGATCACATCACTGCATTCAAGCCTGGGTGACACAGCAAGACCCTGTCTCCAAAAATAAAAATTAAAATTAAAAAAATAAAGGCAATGTGGAGCAGGCACTGACTGATGCAGGTACTTTGGACCATAATCACAAAGTATGTTACCTCAATGATGAGACAGAGTCTCACTCTGTCACCGAGGCTGAGTTTGCCTCACTGCAAACTCAGCCTCCTGGGTTCAAGCAATCTTCCTCTCAAGTAGCTGGGCTAACAAGCACGCACCGCCATGCCTGGCTAATTTTTGTATTTTTAGTACAGACGGGGTTTCACCATCTTGGTCAGGCTGTTCTTGGACTCCTGACCTCAAGTGATCTACCCGCCTCAGCCTCCCAAAGTGCTGGGATTACAGGTATGAGCCACTGTCCCCGGCCTCAGTGATCCTTTCATTTTGCATTGTATATGGCACCTGCTTATGAAAGCAGCAAAAACAAACCCCAAAATTCTAGGGTGAAAAAATATCAACACAGGAAAGTTGAAAAGAATTATATTACGCTCCACATATGCAGTTTAAAACTTTCTCCAAATATTAGAAAAGGTTTTGGAACCCTGGTTCATAAACTTTGAAAACCTTTGGTCATTTTAAATAAACCAAAGAAGCAAAACCAGATTGCCTCCAAAAGTAAACTTTTTACCATCGCTGATCTTAACTGCTACAACAACAAGAAAAGAAATACCTAAAATAGGTAACAAGAATAACACTGTTTTTTTTTTTTTTCTTTTTCTTTTGAGACGGAATTTTGTTCTGTCACCCAGGCTGGAGTGCGGTGGCTCAGTCTTGGCTCACTGCAAGCTCTGCCTCCCGGGTTCATGCCATTTTCCTGCTTCAGCCTCCCGAGTAGCTGGGACTACAGGTGCCCCCCACCATGCCCAGCTAATTTTTTTGTATTTTTAGTAGAGATGGGGTTTCACCGTGTTAGCCAGGATCGTCTCGATCTCCTGACCTTGTGATCTGCCCTCCTCGGCCTCCCAAAGTGCTGGGATTACAGGTGTGAGGCACCGCAAAGAATAACACTGCTTTAATGAAACACCAGTGAAATGTCACAAATAAATTACCTAATTGTGCAAGAAACAAGTAAATTAATGCTACAAGAAGGCTTTAGGAGGACCCTTAATTACCAGTCCACAATCTATACTTCATTTTATTAAATTTATGTATTAATTTTATTAATACATAAAATTATTTATTATTTTATTTTATTTTATTTTTTTTAGAGATGGAGTCTCACTCTGTCACCAAGAGTGATCTTGGCTCACTGGCATGATCTCGGCTCACTGCAACTTCTGTCTCAAGTGATTTTCCTGCCTCAGCCTCCTAAGTAGCTGGGATTATAGGCATGTGCTACCATACCTGGCTAATTTTTGTATTTTTAATAGAGATGGGGTTTCGCCATGTTGGCCATGCTGGTCTCGAATCCCTAACCTCAGGTGATGCACCCACCTCAGCCTCCCAAAGTGCTGGGATTACAGGCATGAGCCACCGTGCCCAGCCCACGATCTGTACTTTAAAACTTGATATGGTGTGAGTATAATGATTACACAAAAGTAATGCAATTGTTAAGAAACAAATGGAGGAGGTGTTGGCCCACTTAAAGTTATGCTTTTTTCCTGGGCAAAAGCCTACAATCTGGGAATAGTTAATTCAGGCCTAAAATACATCAGCTGAGCTCACTGGTCATATAAACTTTGTTTGTGTGTTTGTTTGTTTATTTGAGACAGAATCTCTCGGTGTCACCCAGGCTGGAGTGCAGTGGCATGATCTCGGCTCACTGCAGCCTTCACTTCCCAGGTTCAAGTGATTTTCCTGCCTCAGCCTTCTGAGTAGCTGGGATTACAGGCACCCATCACCACACCTGCCTAATTTTTGTATTTTTAGTAAAGACAGGGTTTCACCATGTTGACCCTGCTGGTCTCGAACTCCTGGCCTCAAATGATCTGCCCACCTCGGCCTCCTTTGTGAGCCAGTGCACCCGGCCAGGTCATAAAAACCTTGTAAAGGATATTGTGTTAGGCCATACTTGCCTTGCTATAAAGGAATACATGAGACTGGGTAATTTAGAAAGAAAAGAAGTTTAATTGGCTCACAGTTCTGCAGGCTGTACAATCATGGCACCAGCATCTGGCTGGCGTCTGGGGAGGCCTCAAGGAGCTTTTATTCATGGTGGAATGTGAAGCGGGAGTGGCCCCATCACAAGGTCAGAGCAGGAAGAAGAGGGAGAGTTGGGGGAGAGGTACCACACACTTCTAAACAACCAGATCTCCTGAGAACTCACTCACCATTGCAAGGACAGCACCAAATCATGAGAGATCCACCCCCATGATTCAATCACCTCCCACCAAGCCCCATCTCCAAAACTGGGGATTGCAATTCAACATGAGATTTAGAGGGTTCAGGATCTAAGAAATATATCAGCTATAATATAATCTCTCTCTCTCTCTCTCTCTCTCTCTCTCTCTTCGGGTATATATCCCATTTCTGTGTCCCAGAGAGGTGGAAGTAGTGGTCGGGGCCACTGTGCTAGCATAGACTTGCTCCAGCGTCAGTCAGTACCGTGGAGCTGCATAGATCTGGGTGTGTTGGTTGTCCCAGGGTTTCTGGTTTGTGAACGTTACCATCCTGTCTGATTCAGGAGCTCACAGATCAAGCTAGATTTGCTAATCCCTGCTCAAAGAGTGAGCTGGAAGAAAAACTATTGCTAATTATTATCTCCTTTTGCATATATAGCAAAATGTTCTTTTAAAAATGTTCTTTCCTACATTATCTCATTTGACCCTCATATTTAACTGCCCTGCAAAGAATGGGGCAGATATAATCATCCATATTGTGAGACTGGGAGAGTTGTGAAGGTGAGGCTCGGGGAGTCCAAGTCTCTAAGCTTGTAAATGGCAGAGCTGAAGTCAGAGCCAAAGCTCCTGGTTACCAGTCCCCTTTCTCAGATTCTATAGATACTAGCAGGGCTGGGGTTAGGATGAAGCAACTGAGGCACCAAAAAACTCAATAATCAAAACAAATAATATTTCCATGTAATATTTTTAAAGGTTAAAATAATGTCAATATATCTCTGATGAACAAAGTATCACATTTTAATTTTATTTATTTATTATTATTATTATTTTTTGAGATGGAGTCTCGCTCTGTAGCCCAGGCTGGAGTGCAATGGGGTGATCTCGGCTCACTGTAACCTCCGCCTCCTGGGTTCAAGTGATTCTCCTGCCTCAGCCTCCCGAGTAGCTGGGATTACAGGCGCGTGCCACCACGCCAGGCTAATTTTTGTATTTTTAGTACAGAAGGGATTTTGCCATGTTGGTCAGGTGGGTCTCAGACTCCTGACCTTGTGATCTGCCAGCCTCGGCCTCCCAAAGTGCTGGGATTACAGGCGTGAGCCACTGCGCCCGGCCTTACTTATATTTTTTGAGACAGGGTCTCACTCTGTCGTCCAGGGTGCAGCACCGTGGCGCAATCAGGGCTCACAGCAGCCTTGACCTCCTGGGCTCAAGTGATCCTCCTGCCTCAGATCTCCATGAATAGCTGGAACCACAGGTGCACACCACCAGGCTGGGATAAGTTTTTGTATTTTTAGTAGAGATGGGGTTTCGCCATGTTGGCCAGGCTGATCTCGAACACCTGGACCCAAGTGATCCGCCCGCCTTGGCCTCCCAAAGTGCTGAGATTACAGGTGTGAGCCACAGTGCACAGCCAAATATTTAAAATTAAAGACCCATGGCTTGCTTGTTTTGTGACCCTGCAATTTTTTTTTTTTTTTTTTTTTTTTGAGACAGAGTCTCGCTCCGTCACCCAGGCTGGAGTGCAGTGGCGCAGTCTCGGCTCACTGCAAGCTCCGCCTCCCGAGTTCACGCCATTCTCCTGCCTCAGCCTCTCCGAGTAGCTGGGACTTACAGGCGCTCGACACCACGCCCGGCTAATTTTTTTGTATTTTTAGTAGAGACGGGGTTTCACCGTGGTCTCGATCTTCTGACCTCGTGATCTGCCCGCCTCGGCCTCCCAAAGTGCTGGGATTACAAGCATGAGCCACCGCGCCCGGCCGTGACCCTGCAATATTTTGCAACAGGAACAGTCTTTTTCAATTGGCCTGTAGTTCCCAGGCCAGGCAGTCCATCTCATTTGCTGCCAAGTGGGTTTTTGATGGTTGACAATGGTGTACAAACAGATTGGACAATGTGGAGCTTTCTATATAATCTTTATTTTATTTTATTTTTTAAAAGAGATGGGGTCTCGCTCTGTCACTCAGGCTGGAGTGAAGTGGCATGATCATAGCTCACTGCACCTTCGAATTCTTGGGCTCAGGCGATCCTCCCAACTCAGCCCGGCAGTGCTGGGACTACAGGCACGTGCCTCTACACCTGGCTAATTTTTAAATGTTTTTTTTGTAGGGATGGGTCTCATTGTATTGCCCAGGTACTATCATAGTGCACCACAGCCTTGAACTGCTGGGTTCAAGTGATCCTCCACCTCAGCTTCCCATGTAGTTGGGACTACAGGGGCACGCCACCACGTGTGGCCATCTAGTCATGTATTTTGATGGGGTCAGAACAGGCTGGGGTCAGACAGCCAGGGAATGGCCGAGTCAGGTTTGGATCTCAAAGCTGATGGTGCCAAGGTCCTTGCGCTTGGCTTGTTGCTACCACTGTCTGTCTTCCTAGTGCCTACACCTAGTAAGGAGAAGGCACTTGTAAATGAATCACTGTACTGCAAACTGAAAATAGTAAGAGCCCAAGTAAAGTACCAAAGAGTTCTCAGGATTGAGATACTTCTGGTTGGCTGGTTAGGGGCTATTGCATAACATGCCAGCATTCCAGAGATTCTATCAGAGTGCCAACGGCAAAATCTACTTTTTCATCACTGACATACAGGGTGTATCCTGCTTTTTAGGAGCTCTCATAAATGGAAGCCTATATTTACATAAAAGCTACCTTAAATTGTGGTGATTTACTTTGGTGAAACCTTGTTAAAGCCCATTCAATATCAAGTTCTCCTAATCTACTTAATGGAATTTGATGTACAATTGGGTATTTTAATGTCCTGTTGGGTAATTTTGATACAGCAAACATTCCCTCAGTTATTTGAGCATCTACAGCTGTGCATTAGTAAACAAAATAAATCTAAGCCAAGGTTTCTACCTCCAGTAAAGCTAGGTTGAGTCTACTTAGGGAGATACAGTCCTTGTACTCAAATAGATAATAATTTATGATAAAAACCAACTTCTTAGAAATAGCATAGGCGTTAACTGGTAGAAATCCTAAGGAGGGAAAGTAATCACTTTGGAAGAGAGAAATCCAAACAGTTTGCATGAACTGGCCCTGTGGGATGGGCACAGAGCCGGAGATGTGAGCAGTGCACATTTGAGGGCTGTGGGGAGGGCTGTGCAAATGTGGGGGGCAGTCGTGTGCCAGACAGGCTGACAGGACAGTAACAGTCTGGCTGAGGCCAGAGTAGGTGATGCATTAAGCTGGCAAAACACCAACTTAACACTTAAAAGAGGCCTTAGTGCACGCAGCTAGTTGCAAACCGGTAAGACTTTTTTAGGGAGCCCTTCAAGGACAGCGCCTGGGAACCGTCTTCATGTAGAGAGTCAGAGGGAAACCAGAAGGCAAACAGGAAGATGAATGGAAAAGAAAGGGCTAAAGGTGTCAGAGGAAAGCTGGGACCATGCGGTGTCAGGAAGGACCAGGTACTGAGAGCTACAAGAGGTGAGAGGTTACTGTTAGGTGCAAGAGAAAGGTCAAAGAGGAGAGAAATATTTGAGATCGTCGGTGGCATTTTCAGCAGGGTGTGGCAGTGGGGTGGGGCTTCCACCTGATAGCCTGATAGTGTGGCTTCACAAAGATTGTACAGGACCATTTGTCTGATGTTGAACATGCTCTTGATCCTGAAGTCTTTGAGCCAACAGATAAAATACAACCCCATTCTAGTTTATCTCAGTAGCATGTGCCTTATAATAAAATCTGGAATATCTTAGGAAAGATACTTTGAAAACTAGCTACATTAACTGCTCTCAGGGAGGGGTACTGGATGGATGGAAAGAGAGATGAGAGGCTTTTCATTATATATCCTTTTGTACTTTTTGAATTTTGAACCAGGTGCTATTTAAAAAATTAAAAATTACAAGAAGTCAAAGAATAAAATACATGTGTGGTAAAAAAAAAATGAAATAGGAATAAATATTTAAGTGTACCATCTTCACAGGCTACTCCAGTGACAAATAAGGAAACAAGGAAACCCTTAGGCATTTTTCTTTTTTTCTTTATTTATCACGAGGTATCTGAAGGCAACCTGTATGCAATTTTTTTTTTTTTTTTTTTTTTTTTTTCTGTGAGATGGACTCTGGCTCTGTCACCCAGTCTGGAGTGCAGTGGCATGATCTCAGCTCACTGCAATCTTTGCCTCTTGGGTTCAAGCAATTCTTCTGCCTCAGCCTCCTGAGTAGCTGGGACTACAGGTGCATGCCACCATGGCCAGCTAATTTTTTTTTTTGTTTTTGAGACAGAGTCTCGCTCTTTTGCCCAGGCTGAAATGCAGTGGTGTGATCTCAGCTCACTGCAGCCTCCACCTCCCGGATTCAAGCAATTCTCCTGCCTCAGCCTCCCGAGTAGCTGGGACGACAGGCGTGTGCCACCACACCTGGCTAATTTTTGTATTTTTAGTAGAGACAGGGTTTCATCCTGTTGGCCAGGATGGTCTTGATCTCTTGACCTCGTGATTCGCCTGCCTCGGCCTCCCAAAGTGCTGGGATTACAGGTGTGAGCCACTGCGCCCAGCCTAATTTTTGTATTTTTAATAGAGATGGGGTTTCACCATGTTGTCCAGGCTGGTCTCAAACTCCTGACCTCAGGTGATCCACCTGCCTCAGCATCCCAAAGTGTTGGGATTATAGGTGTGAGCCACCGTGCCCAGCCATGCAATTTTTAATAACACAGTCTTACTGATGTATAATTGACAACAATTAGCTGCGCGTGTTTAAAGTGTACAATTTGATAAGTTCTGACATACATATCTGAGAAACCATCACCACGATCCAGACGGTGAACATAATCATTACCCTTGAAAATTTCCTCATGCCCTTTTGAAATCCCCTCCTTCCATCTCTTTCCCACTCTCGATCCCCAGGCACTGATCTGCTTTCTATTATTTTGCATTTTCTAGAATTTCATATAAATGGAATTGTAGAGAATGCACTGTTTTGTTTGGCTTATTTCACTCAGCAAAATTAGATCTGAGATTCATCCAGATTGCATGTATCAATATCTCATTAATTTTTATTGTTGAATAGTTTTGAATTTTATAGCGATACCATTTGGGTAAATACCTAGGATCAGGGTGATGCGGTAACTATACTTAACTGTATAAGAAACCGCCAAATATTTCCAAAGTAGCTGTGCCATTTTGCATTTTCATTGGCAAAGTACGAGAGTTCCACATCCTTACCAACACTTGGCATTGTCTTTTAAATTCTCAGCTGTCTCCTATGCATGTAGTGGTATCTTACTCTGATTTTACTTTTGTTTGTTTGTTTGTTTCTGAGACAGGGTCTCACTCTGTCGCCCAGGCTGGAGTCGACTGGCTCGATCTCGGCTCACTGCAACCTCCGCCTCCTGGATTCTCCTGCCTCAGCCTCCTGAGAAGCTCTGACTACAGGTGCCCACCACCACGCCCGGCTAGTTTTTGTATTTTTAGTAGAGACAGGGTTTCACCATATTGGTCAGGCTGGTCTCAAACTCCTGACCTCAGGCGGTCCACCCGCCTAGGCCTCCCAAACTGCTGGGATTACAGGCATGAGCCACTGCACCTGGCCATCAGTGTTTTCTTCTATGGCTCATATTCTCTCTGGTACTCTGCCCTGGTAACTCTAGCCACCTGGCCCTCCCTATGCTCCCAGATCTATCTCCTCCATTTAGGGAGAACACTGGTTCTGCCTGGGTTTCCCCTCCCAGCACTGAGGCCTGGAAATGCAATCCAGACAACACACGGGGGCAAAAAGAGTGCTTATGCCATTTGTTTTCTCTCAGGAATCACAGATCTCTGTTGCTTGTTGTCTAATGTCTTAAAAGCCTGTGTTTCTTGTATTTTTATTTTTATTTTTTTTTAGATGGAGTCTCGCTCTGTTGCCCACGCCAGAGTGCAGTGGTGCAATCTGGGCTCACTGCAACCTCTGCCTCCCGGGTTCAAGTGATTCTCCTGCCTCAGCCTCTTGAGTAGCTGGGATTACAGGTGGGTACCACCACACCTGGCCAATTTTTGTATTTAGTAGAGACAGGGTTTCACCATGTTGCCCAGGGTGGTCTTGAACTACTGACCTCAGGTGATCAGCCCTCCTTGGTCTCCCAAAGTTCTGGGATTACAGGTGTGAGCCACCGCACCTGGCCCATAATGTTTCTTTTTCTTTTCTTTCTTTCTTTTTTTTCTTTCTGAGACAGAGTCTCGCTCTATCGCCAGGCTGGAATGCAGTGGTGCAATCTCTGCTCACTGCAACCTCCGCTTCCTGGGCTCAGTTGATTCTCCTGCCTCAGCCTCCCAAGTAGCTAGGATTACAGGTGCCCCCCCACCATGCCTGGCTAATTTTTGTGTTTTTAGTAGAGATGGGGTTTCACGATATTGGTCAGGCTGGTCTCGAACTCTTGACTTCAGGGGATCCACCCACCTTGGCCTCCCAAAATGCTAGGATTATAGGCATGAGACACTGCACTCGGCCCTCTATTGTATTTTCTGCTTCTATGAGTTTGACTATTACAGATTTATAACATGAATGAAATCATGCAGTTTTTGTCGCTTTGTGACTGGTTTCTCTTAGGAAAATGTCTTCCAATTTCATCCTTATTGCCGTCAGTGGCAGGACTTCCTACCTTTTAAAGGACAAATAATATTTCATTTTACGTATATACACATCTTCTTTATCCATTCATCTGTCGATGGATATTTGGATTGTTTCCATATCTTGACTATTGTGAATAATGCTGCTGTGAACATGGGAGTGCAGATATCTCTTGGGGACACTGATTTTGATTCTTTTTTTTTTTTTTTTTTGAGATGGAGTTTCACTCTTGTGAAATGGCAATGATGTCGGCTCACAGCAACCTCCACCTCCCGGGTTCAAGCTATTCTCTTGCCTCAGCCTCCCGAGGAGCTGGGATTACAGGCATGTGCCACCACGCCCGGCAAATTTTTTGTATTTTTAGTAAAGACAGGGTTTCTCCATGTTGGTCACGCTGGTCTCGAACTCCCGACCTCAGGTGATCCGCCCACCTCGGCTTCCCAAGGTGTTGGGATTACAGGCCTGAGCCACAGCACCCGGCCTTTTCAATTCTTTTTTTCTTTTTTTTGAGACAGATTCTCACTCTGTTGACCAGGCTGGAGTGCAGTGGTGTGGTCTCGGCTCACTGCAACCTCCACCTCCTGGGTTCAAGCTATTCTCCTGCCTCAGCCTCCCAAGTAGCTGGGATTACAGGTGTCCACCACCAAGCCTGGCTAATTTTTGTATTTTTAGTAGAGATGGGGGTTTCACCATGTTGGCCAGGCTGGTCTCAAACTCCTGACCTCAGGTGATCTGCCTGCCTTGGCCTCCAAAAGTGCTGGGATTACAGGCGTGAGCCACTGCACCTGGCCCTGATTTCAATTATTTTTGGATATATACCCAGAAGTGGGATTGCTGAATCATATTTAGTTCTATTTTGCTTTTTTTTTTTTTTTGATACAGGGTCTCGCTCTGTCACCCAGGCTGGAGTGTAGCGGCATGATATTGGCTTGCTGTAGCCCCCACCTCATGGGCTCAAGCAATCCTTCTACCTCAGCCTCCTGAGTTGCTGGGAACCAGAGATTCCCAGCTGATTTTTGAATTTTTATTTATTTATTCAATAACTTAAACTTTAAAACATTTTTAAATATTTTGTAGAGATGGGGTCTTCCTATGTTGCAAAGGCTGGTCTTGAACTGGGCTCAAGTTATCCTCTCACCTTGGCTTCCCAAAGTGCTGGGATTGTGAGTGTGAGCCACTACAGCTGGCCTATATCTAATTTTTTGAGGAATCTCCATAGTGTTTTCCATAGCTGCTGCAGCATTTTACATTCCCACAATCAGTGTATAAGAGTTCCAATTTCCCCATTTCCTCACCAAGTTACCTTTGTTTTTTTTGAGACGGAGTCTTGCTCTGTTGCCCAGGCTGGAGTGCAGTGGCGCGATCTTGGCTCACTGCAAGCTCCACCTCCCAGGTTCATGCCATTCTCCTGCCTCAGCCTCCCAAGTAGCTGAGACTACAGGCACCCGCCACCACGCCTGTCTAATTTTTTGTATTTTTAGTGGAGACGAGGTTTCACCATGTTAGCCAGGATGGTCTTGATCTCCTGACCTCATGATCCACCCACCTCAGCCTCCCAAAATGCTGGGATTATAGGTGTGAGCCACTGCGCCTGGCCTATTATAAGCATTTCTAAATGTACATAGGAGGCCGAGGCAGGAGCATCACAAGGTCAGGAGTTCGAGACCAGCCTGGCCAACATGGTGAAACCCCGTCTCTACTAAAAATACAAAAAACTAGTTGGGCATGGTGGTGGGCGCCTGTAGTCCCAGCTACTCGGAGGCTAAGGCAAGAGAATGGCGTGAACCCGGGAGGTGGAGCTTGCAGTGAGCCGAGATCGCGCCACTGCACTCCAGCCTGGGCGACAGAGCGAGACTCTGTCTCAAAAAAAAAAAAAAAAAAAAAGTCCATCCTAAAAGGTAGAAGGTAATATCTTACTGTAGTTTTGATTTGCATTTCTCTGATAATGAGGTTGAGCATCTTTTATACACCTGTTGATCATTTGTATGCCTTCTTTGGGGGAAATATCTGTTCATATCCTTTGCCCATTTAAATAATCAGGCCATTTGTCAGGAGAATCACTTGTACCCAGGAGGCGGAAGTTGCAGTGAGCAGAGATGGCGCCACTGCACTCCAGCATGGGTGACAAGAGCAAAACTTTGTCTTTAAAAAAAAAAAAAATCAGGCCATTTGTTATTTTTGCTATGGAGTTGTAGGAATTCTTCCCGTATTTTATTTGTTTATTTATTTATTTAGAGATGGAGTCTCACTCTGTCGCCCAGGTTGGAGTGCAGTGACATGATTTCAACTCACTGTAGCCTCTATCCTGAGTTCAAGCAATTCTCCTGCCTCAGCTTCCCCAGTAGCTGGGACTACAGGTGTGAGCCACTATGCCCAGATAATTTTTGTATTTTTAGTAGAGACGGGGTTTCACCATGTTGGCCAGGCTGATCTTGAACTCCTGGCCTCAAGCAATCCACTTGCCTTGGCCTCCCGAAATGATAGGATGACAGGCATGAGCCATTACACCTGGCTTTTCCTATATTTTGAAAATTAACCCCTTATCGGATATATGCAAATATTTTCTTCCATTCTGTAGATTGCCCTTCCTCCTTCCCTCCTTTCCTTCCTCCCTCCCTCCCTTCCTTACTTTCTTTCTTGACAGTCTTGCTGTGTTGCCAAGGCTGAAGTGCAGTGGTGTGATCTTAGCTCACTGCAAACTCTGCCTCCTGGGTTCAAGCCATTCTCTTTCCTCAGCCACCCAAGTTGCTGTGATTACAGGTACGTGCCACCATGCCTGCACGCCTGTCTAATTTTAGTATTTTTAGTAGAGGGGGGGTTTCATCATGTTGGCTAGGCTGGTCTCAAATTCCTGGCCTCAAGCAGTCCTCCCACCTCAGCCGGGCATGGTGGCATGCGCCTGTAATCCCAACTACTCAGGAGGTTGAGGCAGGAGAATCGCTTGAATCGGGGAGGTGGAGGCTGCCGTGAGCAGAGATCGCGCCACTGCACTCCAGCCTGGGTGACAGAGCAAGACTCCGTCTCAGCTTTGAGTGTGGGATTGGGCCTTGTTGTATTAGCTGAGGCTTCCTCCAAAGAAGAGCCCAAGACAAAGAGTTACATGGCGGTAGCTCATCTGGGAATTGATACAAGGAAGCAGAAACGTGGGAGGGACTGAGGCGGTGAGAAAGGACAGAGAGAAAGCCAATACAATGCTGTGTTACTTAGTTGGCCACCATTTTAGGTGACTTGTGCTGCATTCCATGAGATATTTTGAGTCTTATGAAATGTGTCTCAGAATTGTACACTCGGGATGACAGAGGAAAACGTTTATCCTCAAAGGTGGCCCCAGAGATGTTCCCTAAATTTCTAGGTTGCACGTGCCTAAATGCTGATGTGAGTGGTTCTGCAGACCCACACAATGTCAGAGAAACTTTGAGATTCAGGGCTGAGAGGAGACTTTCCTTTGCCTTCCAAAGCTGTATGGAATTTGATGGAAAGGTGGCTGCAGATGTGGGTGGAGTAAGAGGTGAGACCAAAAGGATTAGAAGCAGTGCACAGAATGTGTCTGATACATGGATCCTGAGCTTCACTGACGGATGACCTTGTTCAACCATTTGTTTGGAAAACCCCAGTGTTAGCCTCTGTTCATCATTCCTCTAGGCTGATAACATTCCTCAGAGAAAAGTCTTCCGGCTGGGCGTGGTTGTGCAAACCTATAATCCCCTCTACTCAGGAGGCTGAGGCAGGATAATCGCTTGAATCCAGGAGGAGGAGGTTGCAGAGAGCCAAGATCACGCCAGTGCACTCCAGCCTGGGCAACACAGCAAGACTATCTCAAAAAAAAAAAAAAAAAAAAAAAGTCTTCCACTCTCCTACCTGGAAGACAGAAGTCACTTTGCCAGAAATCTGAGAGCCAGATGGAGCAAGACTGCTGGAGTCTCTGCATTCACTGTGCATCTGGCCTCTGGACCTCCCCATTTCTTTATTTCCTGTACCCTCAGCAAGCCTGACATCCTCCAAGTCAGAGACTTTCTAGAAGATAAACCTCCAGGTTTTTTTTTGCTGGAAGCACAGAGGGGATCTAGGGATCTCACTGCTCCTTAAATTGCTTTCGCTCAGTTCTCCTTATTTTAGCCTTCTCCTCCACCCTCAGTCCCAACGGTCCCTGGTTCTGGCAGTTTCTGAGCCTTTTGAGGTTTTTCCAGTGTAAGTTGGGTTGGATCTCAGCTTTCTCATGTCTGCTAAATCAGTTACCACTCATCCATCTATTTTTCAGCTTCTAAAATTGTGTTGCTCTTTTCTCCTCTCCTGTTCTCCTTTCCTTATGGTTTTACGACTTAAAAAAAGAAAGAAAAGGAATAGAAAAGAAAATCTGTTTAGTGCAGTTTTGGGATAGAGCAAAATTAGTAGCATGCATGCTATCTGCCATCTTAGCCTGGAATCCACCCATAGATATACACATAGCTAGCTGCCTCCTTTGTGCCCTTCCTGCCTCAACTTAAATATTACTTCCTCAGATCAGTCTTCCCTGACCACTCAACCAAAATTTGGCTCCCATCGTCACAGCACTTATTACTACTGGGTATTTTCTTTTTTTTTTTTTTGAGATGGAGTCTCACTCTGTTGCCTAAGCTGGAGGGCAGTGGTGTGATCTGGCTCACTGCAACTTCCACCTCCCAGGTTCAAGTGATTCTTCTGTCTCAGGCTCCTCAGTATCTGGGACTACAGGCTTGCGCCACCATGCCCGGCTATAGGTATTTTCTTGTGTATTGCCTTTCCCCCCCTCTAGAATATAAACTCCATGAGAACAGGTACTCCATCTCTTTTGTCCATGCTATAACCTCAGCTCCTAAAATAGTACCTGGCACATGAAAGAAACTCAATAATTGTGCTTGGCAATGATATTTTGAGAATCAAATGATCTTCAATGCTGTGTGCGACATAACCTGTGCAAAGCAAAGAAGGACTACCACACGTGAAGGAGCAGAGGGTATACCGAGCATAAGACAGAGCCTGCGTTCAAGTTCTGCAGAGTATGAGGAGCAAGAGAAGCTGCAAAGAGCAGGAGCAGAACAGCAGGAATCTGGAAACGCCTGCACTTGAAAACCGTGTCCTTGGTTTGAGTCAAGGTCATCCTAGGTTTCTGCTGCGCCTCCAAGATAAGCTCAGCTGACAATCTAAAGGAGACACCCCAAAGCAAAAGGGGACAGGGAGGAAGGGAAGCAGGGGGAAAGGCAGACCTTGCTGGCGTTTCTGCCTCTCCTTTAATTGCTATTAGAGGAGTGGAAGGCAGAAGAAGGAAAATAAACCTGTGAAGCTTCGGGGAAGCAGGGAGGACTGTGGAAAGCCCTGTTCTATTGCTGAGCTGTGTGAAGTCATGTGACATTTGGAGTGGAAGCTGCTGTCTCCCATTCTATGTACCAGGAGTCCTTATTATCAGCCAGGTGCACCTTAGATGACGTTCACAGCCCTGGAGGTACTGAGTTTCCTGTGACCTTCACTTCATTTTAAAAAATTACAAGTGTTTACTGTAACTAATTCAGGCAATGCAGATTCTTATGCAGTAAATAAAAAAGTTAACCTTTCTTTCCAGTAGTGTCAGCTTTTAGCTCAGCAGATTGTTTAGTTTCTTTGCTTTTTTCCTTCTATCTTGCCTTCCCTCCTAAAGATCAGCACTTTGGGAGGTTGAGGTGGGAGTGTTGCTTGAGGCCAGCAGTTTGTGATGAGCCTGAGCAACAAAGCAAGACCTTGTCTCTACAGTAAAAAAAAAAAAATTAGCCAGGCATGGTGGTGCATGCCTGTAGTCCCAGCTACTTGGGAGGCTGAGGGCTGAGGTGGGAGGAAGGATGGCTTGAGCTCAGGAGTTCAAGGCTGCAGTGAGCTATGATCTTGCCACTACATTCTAACCTGGGTGACAGAGCAAGAACTTGTCTCCAAAATAAATAAATAACTTAATAAAAATAAATTAATTAGGGCTGGACGTGGTGCTTCATGCCTGTAATCCCAGCACTTTGGGAGGCCGAAACGGGTGGATCACTTGAATTCAGGAGTTCGAGACCAGCCTGGACAACACGGTGAAACCCCGTCTCTACTAAAATTACAAAAAAATTAGCCAGACATGGTGGTGCGTGCCTGTAATCCCAGCTACTCGGGAGGCTGAGGCAGGAGAATCTCTTAAGCCCCAGAGGCAGAAGTTGCAGTGATTCGAGATTGCACCACTGCACTTCAGCCTGGGTGACAAAGCAAGACTCTTTCAAAAAAAAAAAAAAAAATTAATTGAAGAAGGCAGTACATTCACATGGTTCAAAATTCCAAAGTCACAGAAAAGTAGAGTAAAAAGTGTCCCTTCTGCCCCAATTCTGTAGCTACATCTGAGGCAACCAGTATAAACATATCCTTGTATCCTTCTAGAAATATTCTCTGCCCAGCCAATTTTTTCACTGGACAGTATTGAATAGTAACAGAACTACTCAGAGCACATGCACAGGCCTTTCCTTTAAGTGAGCCAAGGCTAAGGGTTTGGCTCTTCATCTTCTTTCCCAAAGAAATGGTAGTCACAGGAGTCAGTGTGACTTGGGGGTGGGAGGGATTTCCTCTTGGTTCTCTGGCAGATCACTGAGAGTGAAAAGGAGCTGTGGAGGGGGTAGGATGTGGTCTGCCAGGTGTCAGGTCTTTTTATTTACAATAGAACTCTTCTTGCTGTAAGGAGGGATGACTGAAGAGATGGTATAGCTATGGCAAAGGAAATCATAGCTGTCATTTGTGATAGCAGACAAAGTTTCAATAAAGGGCCTTCTCTAAAGAGGACATCGTGTGGGATGTAAACTTGGGAAAAGAAAGCTATTTTATGTAAGTCGCCCAAGGTATCTCTTCATACAATTGAGCCACTCCAAAGCTGAATCCTAGGGGTCCAGAAATCAAAGGGGGAGCAAACAAGAGAGCTGGAGGGCTCCCAGGTGGCATCAGGAGATTGACAGCAATGGGGTGGGGCGAAGCCTGGGGATTCAATTAGACTGGATCTCATGTTTGATTCTAAAGGTAGAATACCTCCAATGAAGCATAGGAGGGAGGAGCCGGCAAATCTGGAGGATCCACACAACAAAAGATCCAAATGACCTATTCAGCGAAGGGACAGTTTTTGAAAGGAAACTGGGAGAGGCCGAAGGGTCTGAAGGCAAATTATCTGGGCTAAAATACTTCTTGGTAGTGTGAACCCGGGCAAGTTACTTAAACTCCTTGAGCCTCAGTATCCTAATAGGGATAAGACACAGAGAGGGACGATAACTGTCTCTCATTGGAGTGCAGTATGATCAAGTTAATCCCCAATGAGATTTGACAACAATGTCTGGCACCTAGTCAGCTAACTCAATGCTTTTCAGCCATGACTGTTTTAATAAATGCCTGCTTAGGTCTGTTTCCCTGGCATAGACATACTCGGTGATGAATCTGTAAAGGCACAATCAGAGAGGGATTTCAGGTTGTAATAAGAGGGGAAAAATGGAAGGAAAAGGGAGTGAACAACAGCACAGCAAAAACACAGCAGAAGAATGAGGAAAAAAGGATTCAGAATGGGGCTATTTCAGCAAAAACAGCCTTGTTGCAGGTCCACCGTGTCCAAAGCTACACTGTGTAAGGGAATGTCTCTTGGAAATTAAATGTCTCTTGGAGAAAATTTAATTTCAGTTGAAGAAGTATTTTGTGGGTGTGTGTGTGTGCCTACTTAGAGTTCAAAGTATACTGCCAAGGAGGGTGGCCTGGTTGCATACAAGGAAATCAAGATCTATAAAAAGTCAGGAGACTTGGGATCAAGTCCTAGCTTTGTCCTAAGTGGCTGATGCTACACTGAGCCAAATCAATCAACAACTGTGTCATTTTAAAAAGCGGCCAGACTATTTCCTAGGCTCTACATGTATGTAACATTTTCTGATGCTAACCCAGGGGCAGAGGCTCAAAAGAACTGAAGAGTTGTTTCCCTCACCCCTAAGCCCCTCCTCTAAAAAAAAATCCGGTAAAACTAAGCATCTGGTGTTCCTTTCATTTTCCCCAGGTCCCCTGCCAAAAGGAGCAAGATTTCTAAATACCGGCAACGGGAGAGAGCTACCTCTTTTTTTTTTCCCCATCCATTTCAGGAAAGTTTAGGTTTTCATTTTTTTCCTATGGTCTTCTTAGAGTTGTTTCCACGTTAAAGTAGGAAGAAGTAACGAAAAAAAAGTGAGATTTGCCGAAAGCAAATGAAACTTGTTTTGCCTGGTTCTCTGGAAGGAGGTTGAAAAGGTAGACTATGATTTTTCAGGTTCAAACTGCTACTCTAACAAACATTGTCCTACAGGGTGGAATCCAGTCAACCGGTATTGAGATTGATTCGCTAAGGCCTCAGGACACTGGACATTCTTTTTAATTGTTTTTTTTGATTTCCATGACGACAGCTCACAAGACACTAGACATTCTTTTAGGCTCTCAGGTAAATGCGCAACAGGCAGTCTACAAATCCACAAATAAATCGCATCTCAACTCGGATACTGGGGCTAGGGAATGTGCTGATGGTAAAACCATTGGTCCTGACTGTGTGACCTTCATGGAAGGCCTGGGTGCTTAGAACAAATATTTTGAGGATATGGCTGCTTGCCCAAGGGCTGTGGGCCTGTATCTTGTTTGCTCATCATCCTGTCAGTCATTTTTTTCTTTCCCTTTTTTTAAAGACAAAATCTGAACCTAGAAACACCGAAGCCAGAGCTTTTTCTAGACGCGAATCCACTATTTGTGCGACCCTGCACTAACCATTCTAGCCTGGCCTAGACCATACCAGGAACCCTCCAGCTAGCCTGGAGGGGTCCGCACTGCGGGGAAAAAAGCAACAGCTCAGCTCCAACCCCAAAGGTTCCATCACCAGCCAATCGTGGCCCGGGGCTTCTCAAGAAAACCAGAAACGCCTACGGACAGTGAATGGCACTAAGGCCAGCCTATCCGCACGAAGGAGGCGGAAGGGGTGGTGTTGAAATTAACCAATAGAATGGAAGAAGTTGTTGTTGGGAGGGAGGAAGACGCCAGCTAACGTGCGTGAGGCCGCTCCCGGATAGGGGATGCAGGAAGCTCGTGGAGCCAATGGCCGCGGCGGGCGGGCGGCGGCGCGCGTGCGCGTTGGCCCCCGGGCCTGCGGGCGGGAGGCGGGGATGGTGGGGGAGGGGAGCGGGCTGGAGCGCGGCGGAGCTCCTGCCGCCGCCGCAGCCGCTGCCGCCGCAGCGAAGAGGCCATGTTGTGTGGTGTGTGGGGCGGGGGGAGGAGGAGGAGGGAGTAAAGCCTAGAGAGGAGACGGGAGAGAGACACCACACACACGGCACAAGATGGCCGGAGAGGCAGCAGCACCCCGAGCTGTCAGGCGTTCCGCCGCGGCCGCGAGGCCCGCCGGCCGGCGGGGAGCTACGCCCGGACGGCCAGCAGGCCCGCGGGAGTGGGGCTGCCGCGGCTGAGGCGAGGCGGGCCGCGCGCGTCGGCGTCACAGCCCGCGGCAGAGGCGCCCAGGGCGGCCGGGCCCACGACGCCGAAAGCGCCGCTGCGGTTGCCGCCTCGGAGGCTCCCCCGGGCCCCGGCGGCTGGACCCGGCGCGGGCGGGAGGCTCGGGCGGGCGGTCCGGCCCGGGACTCGGGTTTGGGCGACCAGGAGGTGCCGGTGGCCGCGCTCGGACCCGGTGAGTGGCTCCCTAGCTCCTTTTATTGTCCTTTGTCCTTGGGAGGAAAAGCAAAATGTCCTTGAGCGCGCGAGCAGGAGGGGGCGGCGGGCCGGGCCTCGCCGCTCGGCTCTTCTCGCACTGCCCCTCCGTGGTCGGGGGCCGGCTCTCGCCGGCGGGATGCGCCTCGGTGCCCTGGGCCCGAGTCGTAGGGTCCTGGGGTAGGGGGCACGCGGGGCCCCGCTGCAGAGCCCGCGGGCGGCAGGTGGGCGGGGGGCAGCCTCGTCGCCGGGACTGGATCCGCCGGGAAAGGGGCGGCGGGTGAATGCCGGCGAGAGCCCGAAGGGGATCGGGCGTGGAGAGCCCCTTTCTGTCCTGGTGAGTTATTTTGATATTTAGGGTAAAAAAATCCCTTTCAGGTTCTCCAACGGAGGAGCTTTTTAACCTCTTTCCGGTGAGGTGGGAACTCATCTTCATGATCGAATTTAAAAGAACAATGGAACCCTGACTACGTTTCAACAAAAATAAAACTTGTTTTTTTCCCTCCTATTGGGTGTTGGCTTTTAACTCTTTCAAAGCCGATTTTGAAACGGCTGCAGTGATACATGCGAAGGTACTTGCTGCTTATTAAACCTTTATGACGTTAAGGTTGTCTTTGAAAAATGCAAGTTGGAGGAGTGCTTCTGGTATTTCAGAATTACGAAGACAAGTTTACTGTGTCGTCAAGGCTGTTTAATGGAAATAGATTTGATAATTACGGTGCTAGCTAGCTGATGACGTTTGGTTAATGTAGTTTATTTTACCGAGTAATGACGCCAAGATCATTTGATCTCCTGATATTTAAATATGATTAAATACACTGTTTGGTACTTTTTAAAAAGGTCTCAAGGAGCCGTTATCTGCAACTTCTCACACCTGAATGTTAGAACGTACTTGGGTCAATTCCTAGTCTTTAAAAGTTCATAATTTAATTATTTTTAAGAATTTATATTATCACAAGCCATGATCGAAAAACTTTCACAAAAGAACATTCTGACACCAAATCTCTTCCTGAAGTTACTTTCTCGTAATGTAAATATGAATAAAGTAGGACTGCTCTCGGTAATGGGCGATGAAGAGGAGCCATATTTGTTGCATTTGTTGCATGTATAAAAATCTAGATATGCTTAAAACGGAACAGTATTTTAAAAGTACAGGTTTCATAAAATTTAGTAGAGTTCTCTGTATAGTCTCTAATCTTAGAAAAATGTTGGAAGGGTAATTTTTAAGTGTAGTGGTTTGAAGAACAAACCAGAAGCGCACAAACCTTTGTGTATTTTAGAATATATTTGTCTTCATTCTGCGGAGCTCTTGTGTTGTAAAGGTGCAGAACTACGTAAAAATAGTGTTGGGCAGACTTACATAGTACATCTGAAATCAGATACTGGTTTATTCGACCATATTTCTAAGGGCATTTTTCCAGTAAAATTGTTTTATTTTTTGAGTAGCCTTCCTATAGTGGTACATGTTACATCAGTTGCGCATATCTTGATTTTACAGAATCTGTCTTAAGTACCAATTTTGGTTTTTCAAATCAATGTTTCTGAAATTTTTGAACACTGAAAGTGGTTTTAAATGAATATTCTGAATCTAGTTCTTTAGAATCCTCTTTGAATTGTGAAATGCAAAATAATTGTTAGCAGTTTAACCTGAAAGATCTTTTTACATGATAAATGGGGGAGGAGAAAGACTGAAATGAAAATGTTGAAGACCCTGATTTGAAATTGAGTGTAAAGGTCTAGATACTGTAAGTTTTAGAGTAGCTTTAGAGACAAAGCTAGTATCCCACTTGGTGAGATCAAGTAACTTGTGGTTTAAAATTTAAAGTAACCAGTGGCCATTTTAACTTCACTAATTTCTCTTGGAGGAGCTAATTTTTAATTGCTCATGATTGTAAAACATACTTCCGGATGGTAAGGGAGATGTTAAGATGATTTGTCTTGAAGAATGGTAAACTTTTTCTTTGTTTATTGCCTGTCATAAAAAGAGGGAAAGTAAAAAAAAAAAGGTTCATAATCTTAAATCAGTCCAAAAATTTGAATTTTCTGTATTTCTGTTTAATTCAATGCGTTAATCTTTAGCATTGGTCAATACAGCCAAAAGATGAGGAAAACAAAGACTGATAGATACTAAGATAAGAAATAACTGCAACCATAAATGTATACAGGTTATGTGTCCATGAGCCATCTCTTCAGTTTGCCCATAGATTTTTGTCTGTGGAATATTTTCTTGTTTCATCACACTGAATCGTTGGCCAAGAAATGCTTGAAAATCAAAACATTAATATCATCTTTCTTCTTTTTTTTAAAGGTGACTTAAGAGATTAAAATTAATTTGGTTGCTGTTGGTTCTGAACAAATAATGAGTTCTTTTATTTGAGGTAAGAGTGGGTTAATTTTTATTGTTTTGACAAAAATTAGCTTATTAGGCTTTTGTTTTATCTTTAATAATTTACATTTCAATTAATGAATGGGTATCATTTTTAAAAGTTGTGATTATGAATATGAGTAAACTATCAAATAATTTGACAAAAGCCTTTAAGCCTTTTCACTGCAGGAAAGATTAAAAGTATATACGCATAGCCATTGTAACTTAATGTACCCTTTGAATAGTTTAAAATACTGAAGGTCCTTTAAGCCTTTGTTTAATTTTGGGAACAAGAGAAGACTGATTAGATTTTGAGGAAAACCATGAACCAAAGATAGCTTTTTTTTTCTGTTTAACTCTGTATATTGTGCAAACAATTTTAATCTTTTAAGTATTTAAAGAAATAAGCTTATTGGAGAATTTGAACTAGTTTGCTATTCATACTGATAGATTTTAGGGAAGAACATTTAAAAAATCAGGTTTTGAGCATAGATTTTAGTTTCTTTTTTGTAATTAAAAAGTTTAAAAACACTTATTTTTACTTGCTATTGTTTGCTTCATAATTAAGTTTAGAATCTTATTTGTTTTCACCAAAAGGTATGCCATTTTGAAGACTGAGACGTTGGAGTTTTATCCTAGAGGATAAAGGAAATCTTTGGGAAAGTCAGTATTTTATATAGCAAGTAAGTAAATGTTTTTACCCAACATCTGCAATTGAATAGTTACCAACATTTAAGTAGAAAAATACCATTAAAGTTTGTTAATGAAACAAACTGTAGACTACTTATCACTGAAAGGATGAGAAAACCATCAAATTTCTTTGCCTGACATTGAAAACACTTCTATTACTATCAAGACAGTCGATGCATGTAATTTATATTGGAGCAGGAAGACATTTAGTACTTCTTAATAAAATGGTGCTTTAGGATTGTGGTTAAATCTGCAGTAAAGTCATCAAGATTATGTTTTTACAAATCTGGTATATACAGTCTTAAGCCTTTTTTTTTTTTTTTTTTTGATTGTACAAATCACATTTTAGGAATGGTCTGGAATTTTGCATTTGCTGATCGTAGGATTCTTAACAACATTTCAAAAACTAAATAGACACTTTCATATCTTAGGCATTTAATAGATTTAAAATACTCATTTTAATTGTTTTCATGAGTTTTCAAACAGGTCCAAAAATGTGTTGTTTTCTAGGAAATGAGAGTTAATGCATCTAAAGAGTCCTCTAATTTAATTGCTTAGTAATTGCTTTTAAAGCATGAAAGATAGAGATAATTTTCACGCGCAGTAGGTATTGGGCCCCCAGCATACCATGTATATCACACTTTAAAATCTTAAAGCTAGATACGTGAATTTAAAAGAATGTCCACTGATGTTTTTAAGGAAATATGCCTTTTTTGTAAGTTAACGTTGAATCTGAAAATTAATGTCAAGCTGTTATTAGCGATTGACTAGAGGAAATACGCGGTATAATAATGGGTATCTTGGGAAAATTTAAGAATCGCCAAATGACCAATTAAAATAAGGGCAAGTTTACCTTTTCTTCAAAATTTATGTGGAAAATAAAATACAGTCTTTCAATACTTGGTGTTGGCTTATTCCATTGATTGAAATAGGTGGTAAGAGGAATATTTTTATTGCCTTTGCTTCAGCTTAACTTCTTTTTAATCCTTTTTTGCAGTTCGATCAAACTTGGGTGTATTACAGTGTGCAAGAGAAAACTAAATGTTTGACTTTTAACTGTAGTGTTTTAAAGATACAACATTTACAAGAATAGTTGAAACATCCCTCACTTCAAAACTTCTTTAACACAAATGCCGAGATTAGGGTTTCCTCTGTGCAATTGATGTGATATTAAATTGGCATTCCTGTCATTGGGCACTGTTAAGGAAATTGAGAAATGGGTCTCTTATGTGAAGCATAATCTGTGTTTAAGTATAAACAGGCAATACATTTATAATGGCCTACGGAAGGTGTAATTTGATTCATAAAAAAGAAAACAGCTGGAAAGGGCTAGAAATGTTAAATCAAAGATTCACATGTACTTAGATCTTTGTTACTGCATATATTCAGTGTTTTGATACTTAACTGCTTGAGCCAATCTTGTATAATGAACCTAATTGATTGGCACATGAGGGCAAATGTGAATGTAGATAACTATTATAGATAGATAATATTATATAAGATAAATATAGTGGATCATGTAGATATGATATTAAAGTACTATATTTTATAAGGAAGGTGGATTATTGTATATTTACCACTGTTTTCTGCTTAAGAACCAAGGTGATACTTATATAATTGTTTTTACCCTAGCATTTTGGGATAATTCTTGAGTCATAAAAATCTCCTGATCAACTTGGTGATTGAATTGGATTGCATTAGTTCTGATAGAAACTGTTTAAAAAATTACCTGACATTCTATAGAAATGAAAGGAGCCATGCTGTGTAATCACAAGGCTTTCATGACATGACATTTATAGATTATATGAAATAGGTAATTTCAAATGTAAATTTTAAGTTTTATTTACTATTAGTCATCGTTTTTTGATTATTTAAAAATTTGTACTATGGACAACTAATTAATTTTACTTTTTATCCTCTGAGATTTGATTGTGGAGCGGCATAAGGGGGAGAAAGATAAGTTGAGGACGTCTCTTTATCTTTTGTTAATCAGAGGTGGTGATAGAGTGGAAAATATAACACGTTTCGGCATTCAGGAGACCTACCTTCCAATGTAAATAAGCCCTTGCGGTCTTGATATTTTATTCCTTTTGTACCTTCATCTCATAATCTGTATGAAGACTTTAGAGTTCCAAGCTCTTAAGATCCCTATTAGCTCTCAAATTGTGGGATAAAAATAATTGTTAAGGCATGCCTAATACTCTTATACAGACTTTGTAAACTGATTTCAGAGAAGCGATTAAGGAATTGTACTGTCTTTAAACAATATTTAGAATGCTTCAGTAAAAGCATTTTTAAAAAATTTTTCTAATGATGTAGTAAATGTACCTAATATAAAGTTAAGTGGTTTTATTTAATACTTTTCACCTGACCATGATTATGTTATAAATAAGAGGATTTATAGTTTGCATGCCTGATATAATCTATTTAATTTCCTTTACAAAATTTTTGTACATGAAAGATAAATGTCTTCATTTTACCAGCTACCTCCTTCCAGATTGAATGCTTCAGTGCACTTTGATTTTCAAATTGGCTATTATTTTTTAATGTAATTAACCTTCACAATTTAAATTGAAGGATATTCTGATCCTTAGGTTATAAATATGTGACTTGATGGTTTATGTAACATTCAAGTAGCATGTTTTCTATAACAATATGATAAAAGTTTTGATACATACCTTGTATGTTGCTTGACAGATCTGTTTTAGAAAACATTCCTCTGCCTTTTGAAATGAAGCCATGTATTTGAAATTATTTCCCAAACAATTATATCTTAAGCGTGTGCTACATAGTAATCATAGTCATTTTAATTTAGATTATAAAGCTATATTTTAACTTTGAGGTTTGTGAATTTTCTTAGACATATTAATGACTTTATAGTTAATGGTGCTCTCAGATTTTATTTTTAAGTTAAAAATTTGCCAGGCGCGGTGGCTCACGCCTGTAATCTTAGCACTCTGGGAGGCCGAGGCAGGTGGATCACGTGAGGTCAGCAGTTTGAGACCAGCCCAGCCAACATAGTGAAACCCCCATCTCTACTAAAAATTAAAAAAAAAAAAAAAAATTTAGCTGGATGTGGTGGCACGCGCCTGTAGTCACAGCTACTTGGGAGGCTGAGGCAGGAGAATCGCTTGAACCTGGGAGGCAGAGGTTGCAGTGAGCTAAGATCCACACCACTGCACTCCAGCTTGGGCAACAGAGCGAGACTTCATCTCAAAAAAAAAAAAAAAAAAAGAAAAAGTAAAAAATGGTTTTAAAAACCAAGTTTTCTAAGAAAAGCATAAATGACTAATGATAATATGACAATTGACTAAAGCTGTCCTTACTGTTTGAAAGAACAACAACCAAAATATGTATATTATACCTGTAAGTTATTAAATCTGAAACTATGATATTATGAAATAGGGTAGGTGGAAATACGAGCAAAATCATTAACTTTCATAGTCTGCCTAAGCTGAATTTTGCTCCCTTCTCCTGTCTTTCCAAGGATGGCAAAGTGATTTTAGACTTTGTCAATTTTGGTGGTTAGTAATTTTTGTGAGTGATGCATGGGGAAGGAGATGCTATGGTAGATTACATTAGTGTCTAATTCTTGTGATGATGCAAAGTGAGATACATTTTCTGTCTTTGGTGGTGTGAGAACCCTATCTACTGGTAGATAACTTACTTATAAGCACATTATCAGAGCAGTGTGAGGGATTTCCCTTAGACATTTCTTTTACCGAGATTCCTTAAGTCACTTCTGCCCTTCTCTTAAGGGTTTACTTGGTTTACGATTTGTCTGTCTTCACAAAACCCTCTGTTACTTATAAGGTCAGATTAAATTTGGAAGATCAGAAATATGTTGTGTTCCTTTTAAATTGCTTCATTTGTCAATTTCTTGGGAAGATAATTTAGCACCTACTCTTAGAGCAATTTTGAAGCAGATCTTTGCTATATTTCTTTTTTTTTTGTTTGAGACGGAGTCTCGCTCTGTCGCCCAGGCCGGACTGCGGACTGCAGTGGCGCAATCTCGGCTCACTGCAAGCTCCGCTTCCCGGGTTCACGCCATTCTCCTGCCTCAGCCTCCCGAGTAGCTGGGACTACAGGCGCCCGCCACCGCGCCCGGCTAATTTTTTGTATTTTTAGTAGAGACGGGGTTTCACCTTGTTAGCCAGGATGGTCTCGATCTCCTGACCTCATGATCCACCCGCCTCGGCCTCCCAAAGTGCTGGGATTACAGGCGTGAGCCACCGCGCCCGGCCTGCTATATTTCTTGATTATGATCTGTCCGAATGACTAAAGGAATTTAGATTTGGGAAGATAAACAGGGACTTGCTCTATAATTTGAAAATTAGTCCTAAAGAAGCATTTGGGTAGCATAGTTTTAACTAAAATCCTAAACTTCGTTGCCTTCTAAAAACCTTAAATTGCTACATTTTGTTTTTGTTTTTGTTTTTGGAGATTGAGTCTTGCTCTGTTGCCCAGGCTGCTGGAGTGCAGTGGTGTGATCTCAACTCACTGCCACCTCCGCCTCCCGTTTTTAAGTGATTATCCTGCCTTAGCCTCCTGAGTAGCTGGGATTACAGGCGTGCACCACCACACTTGGCTGAGTTTTGTATTTTTAGTAGAGCTGGGGTTTCACCATGTTGGTCAGGTCTCGAACTCCTGACTTCAGGTGACCCACCCAGCTTGGACTCCCAAAAGTATTGGAATTACAGGTGTGAGCCACTGCGCCCTGCCTATTTTCATATTGAACTTTTAAATAAGTTTTCTTTGTGGTGGTGGGATGATTATTGTAATCATACTTGGGAACAGAAGTGATGAAAAAGGTATGTTACTTGAGATATGGGAAACGCTATTTTCCATGTTTAGTTATGGGGTATTCAAGTCTAACTAGTGGAAAGTATGGATACATTTTATTTATTTTTTGAGACGGAGTCTCGCTCTGTTGCTCAGGCTAGAGTGCAGCGATGCGATCTCAGCTCACTGCAACTTCTGCCTCCTGGGTTCAAGCAATTTCTGGCTAATTTTTGTATTTTTAGTAGAGACGGGGTTTGACCATGTTGGCCAGGCTGGTCTCAAACACCTGACCTCAAGTGATCTGCCTGCCTCCACCTCCCCAAGTGCTGGGATTATAGGTGTAAGCCACCGGGCCTGGCCGGATACATTTTTATTATCAAGTATATATTTTAGGAATGATTAGTGTTGGTTTAGTTGAATAGATTGGTACAATTAGTAGTAATTTGAAATGATGCCTATGGTTTCCTAACATTTTGTCTTAGTGTTGATTAAAGACATAATAATGTGAAATAATATGGTAATACTAAGGAATGAGAAAGTGGCCTTACAGGTGGGCAATGTAAACTTTCCTGTAGAAGGATTGAAAGTAAATAGATGTAAGACTAGAAAGTGAAACAATTCTGTACTGTAAGAGCAATGTTGGCTGTGTTAAATAACTCGTTCCCAAACATCAGATCCACCTGGGGAGCCCAAATATTTACCTACATTTTTGGAGTTCTTAGGGGCTGAAACTTACGCTTGTGATTTTGTAGTAACCTATTCTAGAGAGGAGCCAAATTTGTGATACTCAAGAGCTTGTATGATTTCTGCTTGGACTGTATTGTTAATACATACATACATCTTTTGGTCTATTGGCAAATGACCCTTGCAAGATGTTGACATTTTGGGTATAAATCATGGTGCTTAATAATCTGTTTTCATTTTTTATGTATAAAATTAAATTCTTTTTGTCCTCTGCAGAAATATGAACCTCAAACTGAATCCTCTAAAGGCCCCATACAATGAAGTAGACATTGGTGGAAACATTTAGTAAGTATTATTCAATTTACATGTTTAATCTGTTTAGAAATTTTAAATACTACTTTGGAAATTTTGAAAATTCGAGTCAGAATTGTAAAGAGGGATTTAGTGAAACTCAACACAGTACAAGAAAATCAACATGGAAATTTCGCTTATTAATTTACTCCAATCTATTATTTTCTGCTTTCTTCACTTAGGCAAGTTAAAATGCAAACAAACCCACATTTGAACATACCTCTAACACTATTATAAACATGGATGTTGCTAAATGGTTCCTCTTTGTTTTTGTAAATAAAGTTTTATTGCAGCACAGCTATACGCTTTCATTTAGTTATTGTTTGCCGCTGCTTTCTCAGTATATAGCAGCAGCAAGCAGAGGAGTTCTATTGAATGGCCTACAAAGCCTAAAATATTTCCTGTCTCATCTGTAGGGAAAGTTTATCCTAGGTCCTACAGCTTTTCCTTTTGTCAGCATTGCCTTAACCTGTATAGAACTCAGAAGCCCTTCGGTTCTCTTTTGGTAATAGAACATAATTTTTAATGATTTCCAATATTATAATTACTTTTAATTAATTAATTTTGAAGTTAAACTTGAAAGCCCAACAAAAAGTTCTTTAGCCTGATTGTCCCTGAAGTTATGCTTTGATGTTAGAAGACATGGTTAGCACCTCTGAAATAGTTTTTCTAACAGCCTGAAAAATAGTTGGAAAGAGTTGATGGGAAGGTTGTATAAATGAATTTTGGTGAATTCTCAACATGATTTATTTATTTTTATTTTATTTTTCGAGACAGAGTTCCACTGTCACCCATGCTGGAGTGCAGTGTCATGATCTTGACTCATCGCAACCTCCGCCTCTGGGGCTCAAGCGATTCTCCTGCTTCAGCCTCCAGTGTAGCTGGGATTACAGTCACGCACCACCATTCCCAGCTAATTTTTGTATTTTTAGTAGAGATGGGGTTTCCCCATGTTGGCCAGGCTGGTCTCGAACTCCTGACCTCAGGTGATCCACACGCCTCAGCCTCCCAAAGTGCTAGGATTACAGGTGTGAGCCACCGCACCTGGCCAACATGATTTATTATTGACAACCTTTTTGGTAATTATATATTAGCTACTTCATAAAAATAATTTTTTTGAATCATATTTGGGAATCTAGATTTTAGATGATAATTTTTGCCTATGGCTACTTTAGCTTGCGTTGTGTAAATGGCTGCTAGGGCCTGCGAAATAGATTTTATTTTTGGAGGGGGATTTGTTTTTCAATACAGGATGATGAAAGAGATGAAAACTTTTCTAATATAGTACAATAATTGGCTGTGGTCATTTTAAAGGGATCAGTTGCATAGCATATAGTAGATGCTCAATAAATACTTAGTGTATCAATATGGCTTCTGTTAAACATTGTTTATCAGCTAGTGTTTTGGATTTAATTTAAAAACAGTGACATTGACTATTAAAACATGTTTTAATGAATTAAATATAAAATTGTAGGTATGCCTGAAAGCCAAAGTTTTGACCAAGTAAAAATTAAAAGTGACAAGATTTCATTTTTTCTCTGCAATTCTCAATCTCTTAGTTTGCATATATAGTCAACTTTTAAACCATTGAGGACGGTACCGGAATATTTGATTTGATTGTAAACCTTAAATAAGATGACTCCTTTTCTTAGTTGTCACAATTGACATTAATTTTATAGTTAGTTTTTATGCCCATAAGACCCAGACTTGTTAATATATATTCTACTGAAGATTCAAGGTATCTTGGTAATAAGTCAACATATGTGAATTTACTTCTCAGGGCTTCCTTTTTTTTTTTTTTTCCCCTGAGACGGAGTTTCACTCTTGTTGCACAGGATGGAGTGTGGTGGCGCGATCTCAGCTCACTGCAACCCCTGCCTCCCGGGTTCAATTGATTCTCCTGCCTCAGCCTCCCCAGTAGCTGGGATTACAGGCATGTGCCACCACGCCCAGCTAATTTTTGTATTTTTAGTAGAGATGGGGTTTCACCATGTTGACCAGGTTGGTCTCGAACTCCTGACCTCAGGGGATGTGCTGGCCTTGGCCTCCCTAAGTGATAGGATTACAGGTGTGAGCCACCGCACCCAGCCTCTCAGGGCTTTCTTGCATAAATATTTCCACATTTAAAGACAGTAGACGAAGATTGAAATCATCATAAGCACCAAGAATGTTAATTACATGATGAGAAGGATGAATTTTTGCTCTAGGTAATTTTACACCTGTTTGTCCCATCATTGACTTTGAAATAAGTGTTTTAAGTTTTAAAATAATTTGTTGCATTAATAATAGTAGCTTTATGATAGCCATCCATTAAGACAATTAGGAATCACTAATTTCTTTTTCCTTATACTACTCTCTGCCCCTGCCCCCCGCCCCATTTTTCTTTGCTATTAAAAATGGGAAAAGTTGCTGAGAAGTAGAGGAAAGGAGATGGTTTATTTTAGGAGAGCCCTTGTAAACTCAATCCAGATGGTGAATCACTTACCTGTGTATCCACCAACAATGTATTTTATCATGTCCCAGTGTTTTTGGAACAAATTTACTAAAGTAGAATTTAAAAAGAATACCAGGCCAGGTGCAGTGGCTCAGGCCTGTAGTCCCAGCACTTTGGGGAGGCTGAGGGCAGGTGCATCACAAGGTCAGGAGTTCGAGACCAGCCTGGCCCACATAGTGAAACCCCGTCTCTACTAAAATTACAAAAATTAGCCAGGCATGGTGATATGCGCCTACAGTCCCAGCTACTTGGGAGGCTGAGGCAGGAGAATCGCTTGACCTGGGAGGTGCAGGTTGTGGTGAGCCGAGGTTGCGCCACTGCACTCCAGCCTGAGGAACAGAGAGAGACTCCGTCTCAAAAAAAAAAAAAAAAAACCTTAGTTGGGTGCAGAGGCATGTACTTGTGTTCTCAGCTACTGGGAAAGCTGAGGTGGGAGGATCTCTTCCACCCAGAAGTTTGAAACCAGCCTGGGCAACGTAGTGAGACCTCCATCTTAAAAAATAATTAAAAATACAATGAAGAGAATACCTCCATGTTCAACTTTATGTTCTTCTGGATGTATGATAATGCGGGAATTTTAAGGGGTAGTAGTTACTCATTGAAGCTTTGTTGCCATTTAAGTTTTTACCTTTGCTGTGGGAATGGTACTCTTAGAACATGCACATTATTTTGAAAAGGAAGTATAAACTAGTGAATATCAAAGGGGAAAAATTTTGTTAACCATTTATATTATGAGCTTGAAGGTTATATGTGAAATACAGAAAAGATCTAGGTTTGTCTGATTATGGAATTCTAGATCAAAACATGTCTTCCATGTCTGCAGTAATTCACAAGTTACTGGAAAGGAACATGTAGAGGGTTTTGATATCTAAACCCTACCCAGTTTTCTGTAGGATCTTGATTTTATTTTAATGCAAGACTGCTGACCCCATGATCCTGTGTGTTCTTCAGAGATACTCTTACTGATGATGTATAAATGAACTTTGATTCAGTAAGGTCAGTTTGTAGGTCTCAAAGTACTTTGGTTATTGTGGTACATCAGAATGATAGCTAGTATTTACTGAGATCTTTCTATATGTCAGGTAATAAAAATCCTATAAAAGTATTCTTTCTACAGCCACAGGAGGTAGGTACTATTTTTATTTTACAGATGAAGAACTGTGGATTTTGTTTCTAAGAAAATTTCCAGGCTCACAGAACTAAGCCTAATTTCTTTTTATTTTTTAGCAAATACAGTTTTTATAAGAATTTGAATTCTATGAAAATAAATGGATTACTCCTAAATCTCTGATGCCTCAGTGAACACTTTTTCCTTATTAACAAAATTCTCACTTTTGGCTTTGGATTGGCTTTGCAGGAGTGCAGATTGATCATAGCTTTTTTCATGTCCTAAGAGTTGTCAGAGTTTTCTCTTGTAGCATTTTTTTCTTTACTTTTTTTTTTTACTATCTTTAAATATATGACTGTAAGAGTATGATAAATATGCTGTTTTCTAATCTCTGCTGTTGTCACATAAACTAATATATTTTGAGTAATTTTGAAATGATATTAATAATGTCATTAGATTTTCTTTGGATTTTTTGAAAAAAATAATGGTTTTAGAAGGAAATCTGGATAAATTTTATCTCTGTCCTGTGTCAGAAAAATATAAAACTTGAGTTTTTTAAATTAAGGTACTAAGATAAATAAATTGCATCTATAGATATTGAAATATGACTGTAATTTGATAATGCATTTTCATTCTCAGTGTCATTGTTCATCATAATAGTATTTACATCACCAACTTCATTTAGAGCTTGAATCTTGTAACAATAGAGATTGAAAATAAATTGGTTTATAATTAACTCTGACAGAGAATGATGTTTTTACTTTTATACTTCTCTATAGAAGTACATGTCCCTTAATTTTAAGGAATGAACAAG
The DNA here is from genome assembly GCF_000001405.40 of Homo sapiens. Taxonomy (NCBI): domain Eukaryota; kingdom Metazoa; phylum Chordata; class Mammalia; order Primates; family Hominidae; genus Homo; species Homo sapiens. Next base: position 92,896,495 of record NC_000015.10, read on the forward strand.
TCAGATGGAAGATTTTTACTGAGATCAGGAATGAATTGAGTAATTTAGTTTTCTTTTTAAAGCTGGGGAGAAATGAGCAAAATCAAGGAGAAATATCTTGCTTTTGATATTTATTACTGATGCTGTGACACTCCCTTTAATCAATGTTTTTTAATATGGGTGGCAGTATCTCAGTTAACCAAATAGTTAAGTAAGTAGATTTTTGTATTGTATATAGTAAACAGTATCCTAATTGTTGCCAAGGAGACAAGGAATTACCTAATGGGCAAAAATGCCCTTATATTTATTTACCTCAAATTCAGTCACACTTGACTGTATCTCCACAAATTCAGATGGAGAGCTGGAAAATTTATAGAGAAGACCAGGGTTTAAATCTTGTTTTTTCAAATTATGTTTGGTCATGATGAATCTGAATCATTTATTTAATGATAAAATCATCTGACTTCTCACTTCTCACTTCTCCCTTCAGTTAAAATTATTTAAGTAATGGATTTGTTTTTCTATGAGAGACATTTGGTATTTTGGTAATGAAAGTGTATTATTTTAGTTGCATATAATTTGAAAACAGCATTTTATGGCAAATCTATCAAGCCAGGCAGATACTTTGCATTTTTGATCTTTTTTTTTTTTTTTTTTTTTTGGTGGCTACATCTTTTCTGTATTCTCAGATATGTCGTTAAAGATGGTGCCACCTATAGTGGCCATTTTCGTTATCTAAACAAAACCAACATCTGTTGGATTGAAAAACTATGCTATGATCGACTGCTTTATGTGTGTATGTTTTTTTTTTTTTTCAAATCCCTTAAGATTCTTTTCTATAATTAGTTTTCTTTGAAGAAGCTTGGAAAGTTTTCTGCATTGAGATTTAGAATCCACAGTGTTTCTGTAATTTAGCTTTCCAGGAATTTTGAATTTTAATTTTTGTTTTTACTTTTTATGTACACAGTATAATGATGTTAGTGTTAAATATTAAAAATCTGACTCTTCACTGGGACTTTTTTATAGATACAAATGTATCTGTGGTAGTACAAGGACTTTGTTACTTTGGCGTGCAGTCTTATCAAGGAGTTGTGTGTGTGTTTTGCATACAACTTTACAATTTCATAGTTGAAAGCTGTTACAAAATGAAAGTTTTGTGTATGGTAGGATATCTTCAAGGTGGGTGGATGTTTTCTGTTTAAAAGATTAAGATGCCAACAGCGTTTTTTTCTTTTAATTTTTTCATCAAGCACCCAGTCAGCTTGAAGAGTTTCAAATGGACCCTACCACTGAGAAATCAAGATGGCAGTCTACTATGGGGAATTGAGGAAAAATGGATTAATACAAGAGTCCTGTGATAATATACAACCAAGACAGGGTTCTTTTAACATGGATTCCATGCAGTGAATGAAGACATAGGTTTCTTACCCAACACAAATGGACAGTGGATTTGACTTTCTAAAGACTTTTTTTGTGGACATTTTGACATTTGGAGAAGAAAGATGGCACACTAACCCAGATAATAGTTTTTATGCCTGGAATTTTTTGCAGTTTGATTTGTATGCGTATGACCTCTTGAAATGTTAATTTTTAATAAAATTTGTAACACTTAAAAATTTCTCAGTTTGGGTTTTTTTTTTTAAGTGGAAGTTTAATTAAATGTTTAGTTTTATTTTAGTAATACTTTGGCCTTTGTAGTTGCCGAGTGGTAAAGTGTACTGAATATGAATAAAGCTGGTAAATTGGAAATGGTGTAATCGAAAACATTTTACTTGGTTTATGAAGATTTACGTTTTTCACAAAGTTGTGCTCTTAGATGGTCATTTGGTTTAAATACTGTTTTGTTTGTGCTTTCATGAAACACCTTTCAAAACAACTCAATGGGTAATAATAGAATCTGATTTTAATCTGCCACAAGATTTTAATGAACTTGAAACAAACTGCTTGTTGCTCGAAAATTCAGGATGAGTGATACACATATACTTCTGAATTATTTTGTGTTGATTGAAATGGTTTCTTAAGCTTTTTAATACTATAAATACATCTTGCTATAGAATATTCATCTGAATATTTAAATTAATGTCTCCTATTGTCTTACTATTAGAGGAAGAAGTGTTGGATTTATGGGTTAGGGTCCTTGGAGTATTCACAATTTTTTAAATTTGAAATTATGTGTGTAATCCATTTTATATAACTTTGAAGTAGGATTAATATCTTGTATCGTCTTTATTTTGTACAATTGGGGATTTAGAATAAATGAATTGCACCCTGCCATAGATTACTTACGTTTGATTTTTAAATGCCAGGTTTTCATTTATTACTAATCAACTGATACCAGTTTTGGTAACTATTACAAAGGTGGTAGGCATTATTTTGGTAGACAAAATGAGTTCTTGATTCTGTTTTCCCATTTTACATGAGAAGAATAAATAGTTCAGGTTAAATTGTTTTGTGTTAATCATACTGTTTGTGATTCATGTCAAATACTGCAGCATACACATCCATGGTTAATACACGAGCACCATTTGTTATTGACTGATGTGAGGTGGTTGGTCTTTGTTAAATTCAAAAATGGAATTTTGGATATTGTTCTTGCTACGAAATTTATCTTTGTGTGTAGAGTATGGAATTGAAACAGTTTGGATTATGGATTTTACCTAGATTGGACATTGTTGATTTTGTTTGGTGTAAATCTAAAGTGGATTTCTTCAGTGAGGGAGAGACATGGTTCTGGCAGATTATGTTGAATAAGGAAAGTTGATTGGATTTTTTTGGGTGTGTGAATATGCTTGTCTGAATGGAGTGCTTGGTAGGATATTGTTTCTGGAATTAGTAATTTGTTTCTGTGGATCTCATGGTTTTGATATTTAGGAGAATTTGCTTTGTGACATTACTTTGATAATTTGCAATCACGTATGTCCTATTGTTAATAACATTGTTGAAATGGGTGTATACTTACTTGATTTGAAATATAAGGGAAGTGTTGGGATATGTGTTTTCTGTTGGATTTGGACGTGGAGTTTCTTGGGTTACTGATTTAAAGGTGATCGTGTTTGGACCATACTCTTGAATTTTTGCCTGAATCAGTATGGGAAGTAAATATATTGTGATTATGAGAAGTTTCTTTGGGGGGAGGAGTGTAATATTTTCAAGGTTATATAATGGGTTAAAGAATTTTGTGAAAGAACAAAGAAAAATGGATATTCTTGAATAAAAATTGGTTGCATTAACTTTTGCTCCAGTGCAACTTGAACACTAGGGAGGCGCTCTTGAGTTGTAAAAGTTACCCCTTTCTTCCAGTGGAGATGGAAAATTCCCCCTTAAATTTTGTCTTTAGATTATTTTTAGGCATCATAAAGAAGGAAAAACTTGAATTTATATTATGAAATTAAGGTTTTACTTTTATTTAGCAATCATTTCACCCATTGGGGGATTAATTTTTAAAAAGATTAGTACTTAGCTGAGCTTTAGATTCTCTAAGAATTATCCCTTTTTCAAAATGGCTTGATAAAACACCACTTCCTGTCCAGGGAGGAAGTTATTTTAGCTCAAGGACTGAAATATTTAGCAGATCTTTAGACAAAAGGAACAAATTACATTTCTCTCTGGCTTAAAAAGGGTGCTTGAGCCAGAGGGGGTTAAGAAGCCCTCCCCCCTCCCCCTGTTGGGGTGGTCTGGAGGGGCAGGGAGGTGTGGGGGTGGGGGTCCTTAGGCTCCCTGGGATGGAGGATCTGTCTCTCTCTCTCTCTCTCCTTTTTTTTTTTTTGGTGGAGATGAAGGGGTGGGTCTATGGTACATCACCTGAGTTGTGGGGTAAATGTAGAGAGTGTCAATCAAAGGCAGAGCTCTCAGAGCTGGGAAGGAGGCTCTAGATGGCGGCTGTGCCTTAGAGAGAGCGCGCTCTGCTCCCTGCCTTTGCCTCACTTTACGCAACTTTCCCTAACTTTCGGGCAGCCTCAGGGGGCCCCCGTAGCCCCCTGCCTTTCCTAGGGACTTACTGGGGTCGATTCGAACCTTTTTTTGGGAGAAAAGCAGCTTTTAGGAGCTTTCTTTTCGTGCCTTGTTGGAAAGAAGCAGCCGTACTGAGAGCCCAGGTCGTTGTTTTTTCCAGCTTAGAAGCCATGGCGCACCTCCATTTTTGTGCGCTCTCCTAATGAGGTTTTTTTTCTTTCGGACCTGTTTTAGTATTAATTATTGCTTTATTTTTTTGACCAGTTAACATATTTGAGGGTTATTTTATTTATTTTTCGTTTTTTAACGGAGGATTTTGCCTTTATTTTTAATTATTTGGGATCTGATATTTTTCTACTAGTAGATAGGACTCTTGGTTTGGACATACTACATGGATCAGGTAAGTTCACGATCATTGGTGATAATTTTAAAGATTTATTTGTTTAAGTTTGCCTTGTTTTCTGTAAATACGAGAAATTCTTGGATGACGCAATAAGATACAGAGATTGTTATTTGTATCTAGTGTGCTACTTTGAGAAAGTTTCCTTATTGATAGTGATGCTTCCACTGTTCGGTTTATCCTGTTGTTTTTTCTTTTAAGGAAAAAATAGAAATATTTAGTTTTTTGGTGCTTACCGTTGTTGTGTTATAACAATATCGTTAACATCGTCAGGACTTTGTTCCTGATAATAAAAAGCATCGATAGAAGCCGGGACCTTACCTTTCTTTCAACTTTTGACAGTAAATACCTGGGCACAGGACTTCAAAGCAAACACAGATTCCCCCTCCCCCTTAATATTTAAGAATTAAAAGATGATGAGAAATAAGGACAAAAGCCAAGAGGAGGACAGTTCGCTACACAGCAATGCATCGAGGTATGAGCTATCAACTTTCTTCCTTTTTGTCTTTTTTTTTGGGGGAGAAACCTCAGCTTACAATTGTTTACCTTGACAGACATGGATTGCTGTCTGTTTTATTGTGTTTTTCTAATTTGGATTCGTTTTTTAAAGCATGACCTTGAGATTGCTAATATGCCACACCCTAATTTTTTGGTAGCAATTTATGAAAGTTGAGTTGTGACTTAAGGCCTCTTACAGCAGTCAAAAGGTAAGGTACCTTTATTCAAAGGGGCCTTTACTGTAATGTACAGTTTTTCTGTCAGTAAATTTCAGTTTTTAGGTTTTTGTACTGCAGAAAAATGACCTTGTCGGTTTAGCCATTGCTGCATTGCACCATTTTACATACAAGGCAAATTTTTTCTTTGAAGAATCCAGGATATCTAAACTTGTAACTGAGGGCCATAGAGAAGCCTTGTAGTAGTAAATTATAGTAAATAGACATATCAGAAAGTTATATGAATGAAAAAATGTACATTTAAAAACAAAATCACTTAAAGGACCCTTTGACTGATGCCTCTCAGTTTATATTTTTATGTGACTTTATATTTCTTTTGATACACTTGACATTTTAGGAAATTTTGATGTGATTTATCAAAACCTTTACTTGATGGTTAGAGTTCCTGCATTTATGAAATCAAATCTGTAATAACAGAAATCCTGGAATACTCTTAATATATACTTCTATTTTGTGTTTGTTACTGTGATTAATATTTGCAGTTGTATATTTTACATTTAAATTATTTTAAGGTTTGCATTTGTATGCTTAAGACATTGATTTCCTGTTGGTAGATGTATTTTATCCTCACAATTTAGATGTAGCTGCTTTAAATTTATTGATGTATTTCGACAGAGTCGTCTGGAATGCTTTATCTTCTGAAGCTTAAAAATGTACTGTTTGTGCAAATCATGATCTGTTTCACATTCCTTGGAGTACCTTGTTAGTGATGAAGTAATAAAGCCTCTAAGATGTTTTTGTTGTATGACCTCTGTATATTAATTTTTAAAAGTACATATGAATGCATTTTTTGATGTGTTCTTTATGCATTTTCATATTATAAATTTTAAATCATGCAGTTTAACAAGGATGTGATTCATTATGTGGTTTTCCTTCCCAATTTTTACTTTTCTAATTTTTATAAATAATACACTTTTCTATTAGGCTAGTGAATTTGAAAGTTTTGAACATGATGTGTTACTAATATGCTGAATTCTATTTATTTTATTTGACTGAAAGCATATTGAGCCTTGCTTTAGAAAATAAGTTACCAAATTTTTTTGCATTGAGTTGTCACCCAGTTTGTAGTGCTGTCTTAATTGAATTGCCCATGTAAATTACTAGATTAAATTGAGGACAGAAAAGTTTTTTACTCATCCTAAGCTGTTTTTTTCTGGAAAGTAATGACAATTTGAAGAAATGAGAACCTCCAGATATATTTGGCAAATTATTAAAGATTCAGCACTAAAATTGTTGCTCCCTTGAGTGTATCATTTGCATAGGTCTCACATGGGTTTTGGCTCTCTTATGCAAGGTTTGTGGTTAACATCATTGATCAGACTGTGCTTTCTAATTCTAAAAAATTGAGCAGTGTTGGTATTCTTTCAGTATTTTTACTCTCACCTGGAAAACTACCTGGAAGTTGTCAGGCATTTGCTTACTGGTAGTGGAGGTTACAGCTGTACATGAAGCATGTACTGACTGTACTTTTAAATTGGTTTGTCAAGTATACTTTGAATCATATACCTGATGGATGTCCAAAAATATTTAAGACTCTTTGAAAAGAAGATAGTTACTTTTAAATTAGTTACCCTAAATTTCATATCTTAATACATGTACATAATTATGACATCACTTCCTTTTAAAATGTGCAGCTGTAGAATGTTAGTGGTGTTTTAATGTGGTAGATTAATATTACTTCTACTGAGCTGAACTGTCCCTGTAATTAGTACTTGGTTCCTTCTGCCATCAGAGTTTTTATTGCCCAAAGTATAGTGTTTAGGGAATACTACGAAAATCACCTTTGCAGCCTGAGCCACAGAAGAGGAAATGAGTTTGCAGGTCAAGTAAACTTTGGTCTGAGAATTACTTTAGTATCTGGAAAGAATGAGTGCAAGTTTAGGTAAATCTGGTAATACCCTGTTTTTGGAAATAGTGCAGTAGTTAATAGTGGTTATATAAGTTTGTATTTTAATTTGAAGTTAATGCTAAAGTCTGTTATACTTTATCACGATTTTTGAAAATTAAAAACTTTAAAAAACGCGATTTTAAAAACATTTGATTGATATTTGTAAAATTTCTAAGTATTTAAAACAAAGTTCTAATGATGGACATACGAGAAGTATACCATACTTTTTATCTGAATAATTTGCAGCTTGGGGATAACTTAAGTAACATCAAAGAATGAAAACGGGACTGTGTGCACACAAAGAGTTCAGTGTGTTCTCCACGGCACCACGTTAGCAATTTATCTTAAGAATTGAACGAGTTTATTAAATTTATCTCCAAATCGTCTGCCTTTGAGCCAGATTTATTTTTATAACCTGAGGTGCGGGTAAATCCTACAATTTTCAGGGGCGCTTTACCAGATATTCTAAAAGGCTGGGGATGATTAGAAATGGCATAATGCAGTTACTTGTGTACTAGAACAGGCAGTTTAACTGGCAGCCATTTTATGACGCTGATAATACATTAAAAAACGGGATTTTGGAGAAGACTGAATCTAAACTAATAGAAATCTGAAATACCAAAGCCTATTTCCTTCCCCCTCTCTGCTCTTCTGGGGAACTCTGGTGCCGACATAAAAGGCAGTTCGATAGGGCACGCAGCAGCTCTTTGAGCCCCTGGCATCTTGATGCAGGTCCAGCTCAGTCACAAAATGGCTGTTCCTTTGTGCCGCAGCGCTGACAGACATACTGCATTGCACTGTGTACTCGCCAAACAGCAGGAAGTTGCCGTGCCGAGTTCAAAGGCCGGCCGGCGCCGGCGCGGGGTGCTGATTGGCTGTGCGCGCGCCTGGTAACAGCAGGGTCAACGGCGGCGCCTTCGGCAGCCTCCGCCCCGTGACGTCAGACGGCTCCCCTGGGGGGCGGGGAGAGAACGCAGTGACGTCTGGCCGCGTGCGCATGTCGGGCGCTTTCTCCTCCCCCTACCCAGGGAGCCGCACGCCGAGGGGAAAAGGAAGGGAACTCTAGTTGGGACTTTCCGGTGGGCGGCTTCTTTCCTGGACGCGTTTGCTCCTGGCAGTCTTGTCCGCCCTTGCCTGTAGCGGTCCGCACCCTGTAGTGTGTTCTTTTGCCCATTTCCGGGAATGGTTTATCCTCTTTGAGAAGCGGCTGCTTTTGGAGAAAAAGTGCAGGCACTATTTATAAATTTTAAAGGCACTATTTGGAAATCTTAAAATAGAAAATTTGCCCAGTTTTACATTTTCCCTTTTCATACCTTAGCGTCCCTTCTCCCCGCCCCCGTTCAGTGTGAAGAGATGAGTGGGTTTAATTTTGTTACAATTGACCAAAACGTTTGAGTGTCAGAGGCGGATACTTTTATTTTAGTGAAAACCTCTTGACGGGTGTTAACAGCTGTTTAATACATGGCTCATAAACAAAGGGAAGATTATTTGAACTTGTCCCCATGCGTTTTTACTTGGTACCGTACATTTTCTCAGTTGGCATTTGATGGAGAAAAACTCAGGTCAGTATGTGCTAAGTACTATATATTTAAGATTCACAGTGGGATAGTTTAGTAGAAAATAGAAAATTTCACGTTCAATAACATTAAAAAGTGGCAGAATACAGCGTTAGGCAACCATTACTATGTAAGTAAATGTCAGAAAACTACTCTTTTAAGTGTTAATAGCACTTGCTAATGCAGGGTGACTGACAGCTTGGCTGATAGTGGGGTCACTTGGCCAAATCTTCGCAATTATCTTCCCTAGGCCTCCATTTCGGGAATTCTGAGTCCCGGTAAACGGTTGGGTTTATGCTCACTGATTTGCCTTGTTTGGAAACCTTTACAAGGATTTCTGGTTAAAACTTCATCGTTCAGCAACGATGTCTTAATAATTAAATTACACATACTGAATTTAAGCAAGCAAGAAATTCAGTGGATTTATCTACTGTGGACAAAGTTTTTTTCCTGCCATACTAGAGTTTTTTTAGCAGTTGGAGTAGGCTGTCCTGTAGTTAGCCATAGTTTAGAGTTATTTTAGTAAAGTGTGTTACTTCAAAGGAGATGTTGACCCTTCAGTGCAGGTGATATTTGCTTGGGCGTATGTCAAGTTTCTGAATACAGTCTGTGAAAGTTAGAATTCACTATGATAGTGAGTTTTGTAGGTTCTCATAATCTAGGTTCTTTGGGAAGAATTATTTGGATAGTTTGTGAAAACTAGCTGAAATTGCTTTTTCTGTTACAGAGAAGTGTTCATCAAATAATTTGTACCTGATTTTAAAATTATATGCTCAAATGTATATTGCGTATAAAATGCTAACAGAGAATTAAGTGTTTATAGAACTTGATGAACGTTTAACTGTAGCTTCCAACTTAAAGTATACCTGCCACAAGAACGAAAGTAATAATCTCACCTCCCTTTTTGTGTAGAGACTGAATTCTAATTAGTTGTGTTAATAGTATTTGCTGAATACCTTTCAATTCCTAAAACTGGGGTCAAAGTAGTCAACATTGCAGTTAATTATTTTTGAAGAGGATATGAACTATTCTGTTATTTAAGATATTTTAACCTAAATACCATTATGAGTTAAAATGCATACCATGATATAACAATTTACCTATTAACTGTTGACAATCTTGCAGCCAATTAAGTTTTTTATAGAACCAGTGTTCTTAGGTATGTTTGTTGAGCCTTCTACTTTTTTTCCCTTTGATGTGGGGAATAGCATCAAGCAGCAAGAAAAGAGTGTTGATCGATTTCTCTCTCTTTCTCTCTCTCTCTCTGTATCCTTGCCGTTTAAAATATGCACTTTCCAACTAGTATTTGGCCGTTAGGGAGTTAGTATCTTTGTAAAGATTAAGTCAGCAGAGGAAGGTGGGCAAATAATATTTTTGATAAAGACTTTTGGTTGTGACAGTTGTAGCAAGTTATTGCTTGAGGAGTGAATCTGGAAGTTTATTTGAATTTTAACTAAAACTCACAGATTTTATCATTAGTTTACTCTCCCTTACCCCCAAATAAAACAACTGACAGTTATGAGAGACCTCCTGAGACCACCTGGTATTTCCAAACTCCTATCATTTCTCCCATAAAATTTGATACACTAAGTTTGTTTCTGGTATAAAAATTGAGTGACTGCTCTGTGTCAGCCATTAAATTTTTTCTTGCTATGAGCCATCTTTTTTTTTTTTTTTTTTTTAAGATCCTTTAGTTTTTAGCTGCTTCTTGGTAACCTTAGAACTTTGCTTCCTTGAAGAACTTGGCTTTCTTGATATGGTGTCACTTGAACAAAGAAACTTAAAAAAAAATTCCTCTAAGAGTATTTTGTGTACAGGTGAAAGTAACTTTGTGGCTTGGTTACACTGGGTGTGTCACAGCTGAGTAACTCCCTCCTGCACTTCAGCTTGACTAAGCGTTGAGTTCACATGTATACCTTTGCAAAGCTGCCATTCACAACTTGTTTTGGAACTTTAGGGTTATCAGTATAAAGCCTGAGTAACAAAACTTAGTCATCCAATGTCCAGGCTGGATTGTATTTTTATTTTGTGATCAGTAATTCAGCACAATGCTGGAACACATTACTCACATTTGTCTTATGACCCTTTTCTGTAATCAATGGAATCTTTAATTGATAAAGCAAGTCTAGGGGGAGAGACATTTTTTAAAAAAAGCTCCTATATACTGAATATATTTGAGCCCTGATTATGAAGTGAGGGACAAGGCTTTTCTTTTTGAAATAAATGATGGAGGACATAGATATGTGGTAGCCATTCATGCTACATAATTTAGCATTTTATTGTTAATATGTTTGGTTATGGGTCTTCTTGTTTGGTATTTCAACATGTTCTGGACTGGATATCATACTGAAAAGTATTTCAGTTCTCATTACTGAGTCCCTGTAGTTTGGGGAAAATGTGATCACTGATCTTGAAGGAGAGAATGTTTCAGAAGCATCCGGCTAAGGCAGGATTGTAGAGATAGTCTTGATTTTATACTTTGGATTTAATTCTGATGAGTCATTTTGTCACTTGTGTATGCTTAACTGTTACCTCTGTGCCTGGCAAGAGCTAGGTATGAGTTCAGCTTTTACTTTAGTCCTGAAAATTTTTGTTCCCAGTTTAGGCCAGTGAAGAAGCACTTATGATTGGACTTGTAATTTTCTCATTTTAAAAATGTAGATAATGGTCATCTTCATTGGGTCATGAAGATTAAATAATATAGTGCCCATAAAATGCTTAGCAAAGAGCCCATCACATTAAAAGTGCTCAATAAATGTAAGCTTTTAGTAAGGTTATTTTATTCTTACTGTTTGTTTCATCTTACTTTCTTGCACCCCTCCTTCATATCCTAAGTTCTTCTTCAGGAGCTAGGTTGGCCCTGAGGAACTCGCTGGTTGTCTTGGCCTACCAGGAGAGTTTGTTTAGGCCAGTTACAGGAGAGATTTGTGAGAATGATTTTAGGAGGCAAGTCCTCATTTAGTCAGCTTGGGTGCGTTTTACAGTTCATCCTCTCTTAGAATTTTTTTTTTTTTTTTTTTTTTTTGAGAAGAGCCAGCCTTTTGAGAGAGCATATGACTCTTCCTGGACTACAACAGCTTCTTGTGTGAATCACAGCCCGGCTTTTGCCAGTTAGTCTGAGTAGATAACTACCCACCCCCACTCCCCCAAGCTGATAATTATTACCCTGGTTTATCCTCTGTCTCATTTCCCCTCTCAAGCTGTTAGAGAATGAATACTGAATACTGTGGTGCACTGCTCCATGGATATAAATGTAACAGCAGTAATATTTACAACCAATGTCTAATTGGCTGTAGCTTGCTTTCAGTGTTCAGTCTAAACCATAGGACTATATATTTGTCTTAGCATAATGCCGAACATGCAAGTCTGCTTAAACTATAGTCTTAAGATTTGTGTGTTTTGGGTTTCCTCTACTTCCTCTATTTCCTGTCTTTTTTGGGTTATAGGTCAGATGGGTTCTACTTTTTATTCCCATTTCAGACTGTGGAGAGCTTCTAAAAATACCAGTGTCCATCCCTGCCCCTAGGATCTAGTTAATTTTTAAAAGCTCTCTGTGTTTCAAATTTGCATGTGTTTCTGTATGTTTGCAGTATCTCCGTGTGTTTTCAAATCTTCTGATGGAGCACTTCGTGTACTTTAACCCTTGGTCTTTCCATTGCCTGTCCCATTTTTAAATTCCCTTTTTAGTCTTAATAGCTGCTTGAGTTAGGACCTCTGGAAGCAAAAGTGGGATAGGATGCTGACGGGGAATTGTAGGCTTGATGGAAGAGGATGTTTCTATATTAAATGTCATGGCAGATCCAGTTCTAGGCATACCTTTAAAATGTATACACAGGCTGGGCGTGGTAGCTCACTCCTGTAATCCCAGCAGTTTGGGAGGCCCAGGCAGGCGGATCACTTGAGGTAGGGAGTTCGAGAACAGCCTGGCCAACATGGTGAAACCCTGTCTCTACTAAAAATACAAAGATTAGCTGGACATGATGGTGGGTGCCTGTAGTCCCAGCTGCTTGGGAGGCTGAGGCCGGACAATCTCCTGAAGCTGGGAGGCGGAGGTTGCAGTTAGATGAACTGACACACCACTGCACTCCAGCCTGGGAGACAGGGTGACCAAAAAAAAAAAAAGAAAAAAGATAAAAAATGTATATGCAGGTGGGCTTTCTCCCCTCAAGATTCTGAATTCCTTGTAAGTGTCTTCTAGTCGCTTTAAGCTCTTGTGGTCGTCTCTTCCTTAGTGTACTCTCCTTACATCCTTTGGAAGTTTAGATTCTAGAATTATTTACTTGGAATGCAGTTACATTCCATTCTAAACTTCCTTTCCCTTGGGTTTATAAAAACATTGGTGGGTTGTGAATTGTGACCGACATTGAAAAAATACAAAAGAATGTGGTAATAAACTCCAGGGTGTATCCCATTTGTATGGGTTGTTTCTAAGTCTAGCAGTGCCTGCTAGCTGGTAATCTTTCACTTTGGATTTTTTGTTGTTGTTGGGACAGAGTCTCACTCTGCTGTGCTGGGATTACAGGTGTGAACCATCATACCCAGCCTCGTGGTGGTATTATAGATGCCTGAGGCTGGATAATTTGTTATTGTGGGGAGCGTCTCATACACAGTGCGGTGCTGCAATCCCAGTCTCAGGTGGGATTTTCCCACCTCTGCCTCCCAAGGAGCTGGGACCACAGGTGTGTACCACCCCACCTGTCTAATTTTTGTAGAGATGGGTTTGGACCATGTTGCCCAGGCTGGTCTCTAATTCTTGGGCTCACCTAGACCTCCGAAAGTGCTGGGATTACAGATGTGAGCCACCGTACCTGGCCTTCACTTTGGATTTTATCAGGAAGGAATATTGTACATGGTGAACATTTTGTAGAAAAATACCAAAGTAGATTTATATTTATTGAGTGCTTACTCTGGGTAAGGGACTGTTTTAAGGGTTTTACGTGTGTGTGTGTGTGTGTGTGTGTGTGTGTATGTATATATGTATATATATACACATATATACATATATATAAATTTTTTCTTTTGAGACAGGGTTTCACTCCCATCTCTCACACTGGAGTGCAGTGGTACAATTTCGGTTCACTGCAACCTCCACCCTCCAGGCTCAAGCAGTTCTCCTGCCTTAGCCTCCCTAGTAGCTGGGACTACAGGCACATGCCACTGCACTTGGCTAATTTTTTGAATTTTTTGTAGAGAGGGGGTTTCGCCACGTTTCCCAGGCTGGTGTTGAACTGGGCATGAACCACCATGCCTGGCTATATGTATATTTTATTTAATATGAAAGTCAGTATAGCAAAAATGTTAGTAACCCTCCTAAAGTTAACCAACTCACTAAATGAATGATTACATAGTCCTCTTCCTTTAAAGGCCTGTGGGTGACCTTAGGTCCTGCTGATCTTATTTATTTTTTTGAGACGGAATCTCACTGTGTTGCCTAGGTTGGAGTGCAGTGGCGCCGTCTCAGCTCATTGCAACCTCCGCCTCCCAGGTTCAAGCGATTGTTCTGCATCAGCCTCCCGAGTGGTTGGGATCACAGGCGTTTGCCACCATACACCCAGCTACTTCTTACTATTTTTAGTAGAGATGGGATTTCACCATGTCGGTCAGGCTGGTCTCAGACTCCTGACCTCAAATGATCTTGCCACCTCCGCCTCCCAAAGTGCTGGGATTACAGGGGTGAGCCACTGCGCCTGGTCCCTGCCGAGCATTTACTACCCATGCCGTTCTGTTCCTTCAGTTCCATTGTGTGCTTACCAAGGATTAGTAGATACATCTTGAATTTGTTTATGCTGGTTGTACGGTCATGTGTTGCTTAGCAATGGAGATACATTCTGAGAAGTATGTCGTTAGGTGATCTTGTAGTTGTATGAACATCTCACACAAACCTAGGTATAGCCTACTGCACACTTATGCTGTAGCCTGTTGCTCCTAGGCCACAACTGTATAGAGCATGTTACAGTACTGAATGCTGTAGGTGATTGTAATACAATGGTAAATATTTGTGTATCTAAACAGAAAAGGTACAGTTAAAATACAGTATTACAGTCTTATGGGATCACTGTTGTATATGACACCAGTCATTGACCTAAACTTCCTTATGTGGTGCATGATACTTGTAACTTTGCATTTTAATTAAATAGCAAGTCAGTAGGCGAAATGATTGTGAGAGATTGTTTCAGTGAAAACTAAGTTGAATGCTTTAGGAAGACTAAATAATAGCATGTATACTACCTCCTAAGAATCTAGAACTTGTTCTGATTGCTTTGTATGTGTTAGTTTATGTAATTCTCACCACTCCTGAGGTACATATGCTTATCGCTATTTGCTAGATGAGAAAATTGAGTCACAAGGAGAGTAGATGGTAGAATTGGGATTCAAACAGTGGCAGTTTGACTCCAGCATTGATTAAGCATCTTGTGAAAAGTTGCTGTCAAATTAATGGGTAAGAGGAAACTTAGCCGGGTGTAGTGGTTGATTCTTGTAATCCCAGCACTTTCGGAGGCTGAGGCTGGCAGATCACTTGAGGCCAGGAGTTCGAGACCAGCCTGGCCAACATGGTGAAACCCTGTGTCTACTAAAAATACAAAAATTAGCTGGATGTGGTGGTGCACTCCTGTAATACCGGCTATTAGGGAGGCTGAGGCAGAGACGCTTGAACCTGGGAGGCGGAAGTTGCAGTGAGCTCAGATCGCACCACTCCACTCTAGCCTGGGCAGCAGAGTGAGACTGTGTCCCCCCAACCCCTGCCCAAGAAAAAATCAACATCAACAAAAAAAGAGGAAACTAATGTATATGAGACTGCGGAAAATAGTAAAAATCTTGCATAATTCTGTAGTTTGCTTCTTTTTAAACACTTTGCATTTTAAAGAAGCAGACTCAAAATCACAGTGCACTGTGGGTGTGATTGATGCCAGTCACACATTCTGCTGTTCAAAAGGCCATGACTCTACATCAAAAGATTCTAGTTAAAATGTTGCCCTGAAGTGATGCTCATGGGGATAGTATAAGAAACAAATGTGCAAAGATGGGTAGATGGGAGGTACTGGAGGCCTCGGAACTTCACCTTTGTGCAGTTTGTCGTCCATTGGCACACATGAACTTTGGATTTGGCCACACGTTTTGAAGATTTGTGCTTTGCTTCAAGTTTGTTTTTTTTTGTTCGAAACTTAGTTCCCAGACAGGTTTTGCATGAGAATCACTTGGAGAATTTTAAAAGCCAAGCTCCCTGTCTGATTGGATTTGGGAGCCATGTAGTAGGTTTGAGGAATTGTCCAAAGCTCTGGGTGGGTCTGTGGCATAGCTAGGCTTGAGAACTGTTGTGTTTATCTGCCGTCTCGGGGAATAGTTCTTGAGTGTGTTGTGTGTTGACAATCTTGAGGCGGAGTCTCGCTCTGTCGCCTGGGCTGGAGTGCAGTGGCGCAGTCTCGGCTTACTGTAACCTCTGCCCCCTGGGTTCAAGTGATTCTCCTGCCTCAGCCTCCCAAGTAGCTGGGATTACAGGTGTGCACCACCGTGCCCAGTTAATTTTTGTATTTTTGTTTTGTTTTGTTTTGAGACGGAGTCTCGCTTTGTTGCCTGAGCTAGAGTGCAATGGCTCGATCTTGGCTCACTGCAGCCTCCACCTCCTGGGTTCAAGTGATTCTCCTGCCTCAGCCTTCTGAGTAGCTGGGACCACAGGTGCCCGCCACCACGCCTGGCTAATTTTTTGTATTTTTAGTAGAGACAGGGGTTTCACTATGTTGGCCAGGCTGGTCTCAAACTCCTGACCTCGTGATCCGCCAACCTTGTGATCCGCCCGCCTCGGCCTCCCAAAGTGCTGGGATTACAGGCGTGAGCCACTGCGCCAGGCCCTGACAAACTAAAATGATCAGTGTGTCTTCCATTTAGATGCAGGTTGGCATTCAAATAGAGGCAATATATGACTGGTGAATTGTAATTTCAAAGGAAAGCAGTAATGGATCAAACTCTTGCACTGTTCTCTTTCCCTTGCTTAAAAAAAAGTCTGTTCCCTCTGAATCTAGCTTTATATAGACGTTTAAATCCTTAAGTTTACTTGCTAAAAATCACCTGGGGTGCTTGTTCAACATATTCCCAGGCTTCTTGCTTGAAAGTTAAAAAATTCAGCAATTCTAGGGTTGTGTCCAAGAATCTGTATGTTGAACAGCAACCTCAGTTGATTCTTGTACTGAGGCAAGTTTGGGAATAAGGTCAGTGTGGGACGGGGTTTCGATCTTTTCTGTTCTGTTCTGCTGCTTTTTAGCTGTAGAATCTTGGGCAGGAGTGTCTGAGCCTGTTTCTTCATCTTTTAAAATAGAGTAAGGGTAGTACTTGTCTCTTAGGGAAGGAAGTTCAAATTAAATAAAATGATACTTCTAGGCAGTGGTCTTTAACTAGTGGCAGGTTTGTCCCCTTCCATTACCCTGGACATTTTTGCTTGTCACTCTGGGGGTGGGGGTGTTACTGGCCTCTAGTGGGTAGAGGCCAGAGATGCTCCCCAACATCCAAGAGTGTGTATGAGACAGCTCCCCACAATAACAAATTATCCAGCCTCAGGCATCTATAATGCCACCACTAGGCTGGGCACGGCGGTTCACGCCTGTAATCCCAGCACTTTGGGAGGCTGAGGTGGGATCCCTTGAGCTAGGAGTTCGAGACCAGCTTGGGCAATTTAGGGAGATGCCATTTCTACAAAAAATGTAAAAATTAGCCGGGTGTGGCAGTATGCACCTATAGTCCCAGCTATTTGGAAGGCTGAGGTGGGAGGATTGCTTGAGTCCAAGAGCTTGCGGCTGCAGTGAGCTGTGATCACATTACGTGCACTCCATCCTGGGCAACTGAGCAAGACCCTATCCAAAAAAAACAAAAACCCTATGATTGAGAAACCGTGCTTGCCTTGGTAAATGTTGGTTGTTAGTAATAAAGTTGAGTCCCTTTGCGGTTTCTTCTCTGGCCTGATCCAGGGACCCCTCTTACTCCCATGACGTTATGGGCATACGTTTCACATTTATTATTGGGATTGGTAATCAGATCTTTTAATCTCCTTTGAACTTTGGGAGTTGCTGAAAGCACCATATATTTTATAAAAGTCTAAAGTTTATAACCTAAACAATAGCTAACTAAAGACAAGACTCACAGGGCTGAAAGGAACTCTTGGTCAAATTGGTCCATCTGTCCTTAGGGCTTTAATGGGTGTAAATACATTGCCCGAGGTGGTTAAGTATTCTTTTGTTAATGAATTCTGGGGAGAACTCCCCTTGTAACTGCTTTTCACAGCTTGGTTATTTACAAAGACTTTTGATTTTACCTGAATAGAAAGCTTCTTTTGTCTTTTGTGTATTAGCACATTGCCAGATCCTGATTAGGTAGGTATTTGTGAAGTGCCTTAACTAATTTGTACCTTAACCAGGCTTCTTGCTAGAATACATGTTTCTCTAATGTATGCCTGGGTGCTAATAGTTTGGTGCTATGGAAACTACTTATATTTGGTTATTGGGGAGCAGAAGTAGTATGCATGATGAGGCTAAGGTGATGCCTGCCTGGCTTCAGCTGTGAATTTTAGAAATACACTGATTAAAGGTAAATTTTTTTTTCTGTCCTTACTGCTGGATTTCTTAATCTGGGAGGTACTTGATGGAATTTAGCCTTTTTATCCCTTGAAATTATAAGCAGCATTTTGTGTGCACTTTTTCTTATACATGTACCTTTTTCTGCTGTCAAAAGACAACATTTCAACACATTGAGTATAAAGATCTAATTGGATTTTATTATTGATTAACAAATTAGGTAGCACCCCATCTATAAAAAAATAGGTGCCCATTGGGCATGGTGGAACAATCGGTTTTTATAAGGTTGAGCAGGAACAGGAAAACAACATAGTACAAAAATGTGGGTTAACATCAGGTTACTTGAGGTTATTTTCCTTATAAGGGTTAAAGCAGAGGGAACTTCCTTATGCCAGCTCACACTGTCTGTCTGGGGATTTGGGTATCTTCTTTCCTGAAGGTAAGGTAAACAATTTAGAAGTTTAACATGAGTGACTCTATTTTGGTTTGGTCTGTTAGGGTCTAGGAGCTCGGTCCAAATTAGTGGCCTTCCATAGATTCTGTTTAACACTGGAAGGAGGGTCCGTAGTGTTGCGTGTGTTAGGGTGACTGCTGAGAGCACTGCTGAATCCTGGGGAGGGGCCTGCACCTTAGAACTGATCAGTTCTACAGTGTTAGAAACAGACCTCTTTTGTCAGAAATTAAGAATTCAGAAAAGTTCAAAGGATATAATTAAAGTTTTTTTTTTTTTGAGACAGAGTCTCGCTCTGTTGCCCAGGCTGGAGTGCAGTGGTGCGATCTCAGCTCACTGCAAGCTCCGCCTCCCGGGTTCACGCCATTCTGCTGCCTCAGCCTCCCGAGTAGCTGGGACTACAGGCATGTGTCACCATGCCCGGCTAACTTTTTGTATTTTTAGTAGAGACAGTGTTTCACCGTGTTAGCCAGGATGGTCTCCATCTGACCTTGTGATCTGCCTGCCTCGGCCTCCCAAAGTGCTGGGATTACAGGCGTGAGCCACCACGCCCGGCCTAATAAAGTTTTAAAATAAAAAAGTTAGACATAGCTAGGGTCACTTTTATGATTTTGGCATATAAAGAGTTGGCACTTATAAAATGTACATGGTTATGTAAATATGTTTTGTGTTTTAAAAATTTAATAGTTTTGAAATTTTCTTTTTGATATTGTGAAAGGAAAATAAATCTCGGTATCTCCAAATTACTAAGCCAAAGGGAAAAGTCAAGCTGGGAACTGTGTCAGGCAAACCTGCCTCCCATTTTTTTCCTAAATAAGATAGCTAGAAAAATAAAAATGCTACATACCTCCCTAACAATTTGCCCACAGGGAAATTCCTTGTGGACAAAGAACTCAAAGCCATCCCCTCTGTTCACCTAAGACAAATGCGTATCTGATTGCTTCCTCTGCCCTGTTGTTTTGCTAAGCCAGACTGAGGCATAAATGACTATGCCTCTACTCTCTTCTCACATGGAACTTGTGTATTCAGTGAAAGGCTAATCAAGAGACTTAAAAGAATGCAACTGTTTGTCTATTATCTACCTATGACCTGGAAGCCCCCTCCCCTGCTTCCAGTTGTCCGGCCTTTCCAGGCCAAACCAGTGTGCATCTTACACATATTGATGTCTCATGTCTCCCTAAAATGTGTGAAAACCAAGCTGTGCCCCATCACCCTGGGCACATACCATCAGGACCTCCTGAGGATGTGTCACGGGCACGTCCTTAACCTTGGCAAAATAAACTTTCTAAATTGATTGAGCTCTGTTTCAGATACTTTTGGGCTCACAGTATTTACAGACATAATTCAGCCCTAATCTAGCTGCTGCATTTAGTTGCATAGTGTGAATATTTCACATTTTACTTTTACATTTTCATAAATGGGTATATGGATTATTTAGGTTTTGTTATGAACAGAGCTCTGAATATTTATTTGCCTCGTCCTATACAAGTTTGATAATTTGTCTACGTTACATGCCCACAAATTGAATTACAGGATTCATACACTTTTTTATTTTTTTGAGTTGGAGTCTCAC
This sequence comes from Homo sapiens, assembly GCF_000001405.40. Classification (NCBI taxonomy): domain Eukaryota; kingdom Metazoa; phylum Chordata; class Mammalia; order Primates; family Hominidae; genus Homo; species Homo sapiens. The sequence goes on from NC_000015.10 coordinate 92,916,587, forward strand.
CCTGTTGCTCAGGCTGGAGTGCAATGGTGCAACCTCAGTTCACTGCAACCTCCAACTCCCACGTTCAAGCGATTCTCCTACCTTGGCCTCCCGAGTAACTGGGACTACAGGCGCGTGCCACCACGCCCAGCTAATTTTTGTATTTTTAGTAGAGACGGGGTTTCACCATGTGGTCCAGGATTGTCTCAGTCTCCTGACCTCCTAATCTGACCACCTCGGCCTCCCAAATTGCTGGGATTACAGGCATGAGCTACTGCTCCTGGCTGATTCGTATACATTTTAAGGGTTACTGGCTATTCTTACAATTATTTAATACTAAGAGACTTTAATTTCTGCAAAGCAGATGAGTGCAAAATAACCAGTTATAATGTTTCCCAAGTTAACAGAGGTTTAGTTATTTTTAAAAATGAGTTTATTGGCCATTTCAGTTTCTTCTCCGTAATTGCGTATCCATTTTCTTTGTGCAGTTTTTGGTTGGATTTTTGATAGGTAATTCTTCATATGTTGTGTATCTATATACTTTGTTATGTGTACATTGAAATTTTGTTTCCCAGTCCGTCTGGGAAACAAGTTACTTGTCTTTTAACCTTGTTTATAGTAATAACTTATTCTGAAGAAGCACAGGACTTGAACCAAAGGTGGAGAGTTTAAAGAACTACATCCAGTATTCTTTACCAATAAGAAATGTGTGGCCAGGCGCAGTGGCTCATGCCTGTAATCCTAGCACTTTGGGAGGCCAAGGCGGGCAGATTACCTGAGGTCCGGAGTTCAAGACCAGCCTGGCCGACATGGTGAAACCCTGTCTCTACTAAAAATACAAAACAATTAGCCAGGTGCAGTGGGGCATGCCTGTAATTCCAGCTACTCTGGAGACTGAGGCAGGAGAATCGCATGAACCCTGGAGGCGGAGGTTACGGTGAGCCGAGATCACGCCACTGCACTCCAGCCTGGGCTACAGAGCGCGACTTGGTCTCAAAAAACAAACAAGCAAAAAGAAAAAAAAGGTGTGACCAGTCAGTCTTCTTTGCTTTTCCATCTTAAGACACATAGAAGTGACTGAGAAGGAATAGTTATGCAATGACATCGGTTTAATAATCAGTTCAACTGAAGAATGTATGTAAATAAGGGCAGTGATACCTAACGCTGATAGTTGATAGTGTGGATTGCATAATTCAGACTGTGGGGTGATATCTTACACACGCACATACACACACACACTCTTGGGCTTTGTCTTCTTTATAGGTAAGGATTAGGAGAATTTTGACATATGCCTGACACAAAAGTGCTCCGTAAATATTAGCTATTGTATCACTGGCAGGAAGTTAGCCTGGAAATAAGTTTTATGGAATTCCAGTGTAGATTGCTTTGTGATTGTTTTGCCAGATTTTGCTTTCACCCACAAAAACACTAAGCTCTGCCAACCAGTTCGGCCATTTTGTAAGTTAGCAAAATAAACACTAAAGTGAAATGGCGGCTTTTGGGCGGGGCTCCCACAGGCTGGCTCCTTTTAAGTGGAATGTTGCTGTGCTGCCCTCTTGTGGCCATTTGGGAAACCGCGATTAAAAATGGAACAGTAAGTGTTAATGGCACTTCGTTTCAAAGTCCAGTTCCAAGAAGGTTAATCACTCCGTTTTTACCTACTTCAGAAAGTATTTTGAAGAGATACCAAATTCTTTTTATCCACAAGCAAAAGGAAGTGGTAAACCTTTTTCTCATCAGCATTTATTTTTGATTGGAATCTGAATTCCCAGTTTTGACTTGTTTTTTTATCTGTGTGTTGTATTTTCCTTTTAATTATTTGTTAAGTAAAAAATTATAAAAGTTGTTTGCAATTTAGATGTTGAATAATTTTCAGATAGTTGTTTTTCGTGAAGATTCTGTATATATGTTGGATAGTCATTCCTGAAAATCCAATGTTTAATTGCCCTGTAACTAGTAAGCCACTGGTAGTCAGCTAATTTTATTACTTTGTTATTTAGGTGAAGGCTTAAAGGACTCCACTCACTAACTCAGTTTGACCCTTTCTATTAGTCTTGTGGGCTTTCTGCCTCCTCTACTAAACCAGCACTAAAGCTACAGCTTAGTACTAATAGTATTTACTATTATAATTATTAGGTATTAATGGCAATTCTACATAGTCTTTTAGGAAATGTCGTTTTTTTAAGGGAATAATATGAATATATATATACGTATATATACACATGTACGCTATATATACACACATATATACACATATACATATATATACATACACACATATATATACATACATATATATATATATTTTTTGAGACAGAGTTTTGCTGTTGATGCTTGGGCTGGAGTGCAGTGGTGTGATCTCGGCTCACTGAAACGTCCACCTCCTGAGTTCAAGCGATTCTCCTGCCTCAGCCTCCAAAGTAGCTGGGATTACAGGTGCATGCCACCATACCTGGCTAATTGTTTTTTTAGTACAGGCTGGGTTTCACCGTGTTGGCCAGGCTGGTCTTGAACTCCTGACCTCAGGTGTTCCACCCGCCTGGGCCTCCCAGAGTGCTGGGATTACAGGCTTGAGCCACCATGCTCGGCCCATAATTACACTTTTTTTTTTTTTGAGACGGAGTCTGGCTGTGTCATCCAGGCTGGAGTGCAGTGGCACGATCTCATTTTCCATTTCCAGTTTATTTAGTGATTATTCCTCTTACGAGAAGTATGAAAATTAAGTAATGACTTTGTTAAGGCTTTTTTTTTTCTTCTTTAAGCAGTTCCCCTCATTAGTACTTGTATTCAGTCTTACATCTGATTCTGGTTCCAAAAACAATTTAAAAACACTTTTTTTTTTTTGGAGACGGAGTCTTGCTTTGTTGCCCAGGCTGGAGTGCAATGGCACGATTGCGGCTCACTGCAACCTCTGCCTCCTGGGTTCAAGTGATTCTTCTGCCTCAGCCTCCCGAGTAGCTGGGACTACAGGCACACTACCATGCCCAGCTAATTTTTTGTATTTGTAGTAGAGATGGGGTTTCACCGTGTTAGCCAGGATGGTCTCCCATCTCCTGACCTCATGATCTTCCCATCTCAGCCTCCCAAAGTGTTGGGATTACAGGCGTGAGCCACCGCGCCTGGCCTAAAAACACTTTTTAAAAACACTCATTCAAATCTTTGCTGGTTTTGTGTAGGGTGGGATGTACTTGCCGCCCTTGGTTTGGATTTGGCTCTCATGATTAGACTTACTTTAGACAATTAACTAGTTTAGACATTAAAAATACTTAAGGTATATAATGAAGTGCTGTGAATTCACTATTAAGCTTCACTACTAAGTTTCAGTCATAAAATGTCACTAGTATCATTCCCTGAGAGCATCTGCCTCCCTCAACCCCTAAAGGCAAATATAGTTGTGAACTTGGTGTTAATCTTTTCTTGGGTTTGATTTTCATTGTTGTTATTTTTGAAATTACACAAGTAATCCATGGAACTCACAAGTATACTTCAAATAACCCATCCCTAACAGAGTAAACCAGTGTTAGCAATGTGGTGATTAAAATGCATTTATACACATAGATATATGCTGACAGAAAAACGGCTTTTTTTTTTCCCCAGAAGGTATTGTTGTGTGCATTGTTACATTTCTAGGAATCACTCTCCTACACAAACTCAAAAACACATAGCTGCACAAGAAGATACGTAGAAAGAAAGATATTTATGGTTACAGTCAACAGTTTCCAAATACAAATACTCTACTCAGAAATATGGAAAGTGTATCAGAGATATTTGCAACTTATTGATTAAGTGAAAAATCTGAAAATAACCTAAATGTACCGTTAATAGGGGAATGTTATATAAAATGTAGTGAATTTATAGTATAAACCAGTTCAAAGGGAATGAGATGGGCATCCATATAGACATATCCTGATGCGGGCATTGGCATTCCATTACATCCTATCTGCAGTGCTTCCCACTTTTCAACACAGAACACTATAAACATTTCTAGTTGGGCTGTTCTAGTTATCTTCAGTAAACTAATGCTGCCTTTTGTGGGTCTCTAGTTGGTAAAGATTTTCAGTCTTTTTGTTGCTGTTGGAGTTTTCTGTTTCCTAGTAGTGTGTAGACCTGTTGTCTGTGACAGTTTTATTGGTGGTGATTGCCAAAACATGATTCTATTCTTAAACTTTTGTCTGGAGTTAAACATTATAGTAGTTGAAAAACTAAATACGTTATTTCAAAGGGGAGGCAAATTGCACATTCTAGCAAATGAATGTGCAATTGAATCCTTCTCTAATATACCAGGCACAAAGAACATCAAAGGAGATATGCTTAGTTTGCAAGTTTATTGGGGAGGTTGACAAGCGGCCAGATTACTCGATAGTATGGGACAAGTGGAGGCAAGGTAGTGTAGATGTTAACAGCTGCCGGAGCTTTGGAGTGAGTCTTTCTAGGTCAGCATGTGTGTCATTGCTAAAAGTATAGAGAGCCAGCAGGGCATGGTAATTGAAGCTCAGACTTGAGATGTGGCTGCCTGTTTTCCATCTCGGTGGTGGTAACTGCTGTGACATATGTCAGTATTGTGGAAGTATCTGATAGGTATTGAGCTTAGGATAGGAGACCAAAGGATGTTTTCTGGGAGAAGGTGATACCTAAGCCCACAAAATTAGAGAGGTATTTAATTTGCTGTGTCCGCAGTGGGTGCAGGAGCTAGAGGGGAGCAATGCTAGGTCTAGAGTCTGGAGCAGTGGGGGTGAGGGAAGAAATGATTAAGTCATGTGCCTTGAGAAATTGTCAGAGGCCAGGTTTTATAGGGCATGCTGAAATTGGATGTTATCAGTGACCAGAAGACCCGGATGCCTGGGAGGTGAACAAGCCTTCAGCTGCCTTTGCTATGGGAATACAGTTTCCAGGTACTGCCTTGCCTAACATCCCTTTCAAGTAGACTGCCCTTTCTATTAAATAAATCCCTTCCTTACTTACAAGGAAATTCTGGAGCTGTCTCTGTACCTGTCTGTCCATGAACAAATAGTGGAGGCAAAACTAATAAATTCCAGCTAGTGTCATGGATTGTGGGGTAACGACTCACTAATGGGTGTTAGCTGGGGAGAATTTTGTGTTAGAAGGGGAATCTCAGCTTGGATGTGATATGCTCAGATTTCCTGTTTGGGTAGGGCTTTGGCATTTATAGGGCACTGCTTTCATAGCTGCCATTAGATGTTCTTATGACACTACTGGTAGATGTCACATAGGTTGACACAAGTTAAAAGATGACACAGGCCTGAGGTGAGCTAGGACTGAAATGGAAGCTGCGATGCCAGAGCCCACAGCTTTTAAGTGTTCCTATCACTATCCAGCTCTCCTCTTCCTTTTTTCTTTCCTGTTGACAACCTGCCTGGTCACAGGTATAAAGTAAATGACTCAGATGCTTTAGTCACCTGGACTAGTCAGCTTGGACTGTGCAAGGGGTTAAGGAGTCAGTAATTGTAATGAGGTCTTGAAACTGTTGAGTCACTTGTTACAAGGAAGCCTGTTTTGGGACCTTGTGTAACAGGGATAAGAGTTAATAATGTTTTCTGAGTCTCTAATCTTTTGGCCCCCTATGGTAAAATAGAAAGAAATGAGCTTTAGATCCACACTTGGATTGGAATCCCGGCCCCTCACCCTCTTCCTCAATTTCTAGTTTTGTCCATTGGCCAAGTTACATAAAAGAGGTCAGTTTTTTTCGTCATTCATATGGTGATAATAATGCCTAATAGTATTGTCCTTGGGAATAAGCAAAATAATACATATAAAGTACTTAGCCTAGTGTCTGATACCTGTTAGGTGATCAGGAAGTTACATGGTTTTTCTCATCTTTCCCCACTTCCCAGTATTGAGAACCTCCCCTCGACCCCTGCTCTCCCATTTTTTCTCATTGCTTCCTCATGGTAACTGAAAGGCCTCCGTATTGTAATGTGCTGTGGATCGCATGGTGTTATTTGCAGCAGTCCCAGTTTGCAGTGTACTGCCCTGTGCACCTCTAGAAGATGCAGTGATGGTAAATATAGAACTTCCCCTTACCCTTTCAGGTTTTGTGCCACGTGTCTTATCTCCTGGCTTCTGAACTCAGGGACTTTTCTGTTAATGTTACTGTAGGTTCTGGGTTTTTCCTTGCCCCCCTCAGAGCAAAGATGGGTAGTTTTTAAGCAAGAGTAAACAGTCCACCTCTTGCTGTAGAGTCCATCCGTTTGAGGTCTTTTTGCTTCAGAGTATCTTCCCCTCTACCAGCATGCCCCTCAGTTGCTTTTTCACCATTAGAGGAAGATGAGGATATTGTTTTCTCTGTGCTTGAGATTGATACTCTATCACCCCTCAGTCTCTGTGGTTTCTGTTTTGTTCCTTTAGATGACATCTACCTACTTAGGTTGCTGCTCCCTATGGGATGTTTGGAATGAAGAAGGGAAGGGAGATGTGTGGAGGCCAGTAGCCGTCTTTATTGGGTTGGGTGTTCTCATTAGCATCAGAGTGCCCTTTTTGTTTACTTACTTCTGTTAAGTCTACCACTTCTGGATCTCACTGCAGATTATAAGGCAGGGCCTCTGGATTGAAGTTAATGTGTATAAATTTTTATAAAGCTCCTCAGATGAGCCTAATTTGCTCCTATTAGTGAGAACCACGATTGGATAATTGCAACCAGTTTGCATTCTTCCTCTTTGGGTGAGATGCTTTGTTTTTTTTGTTTTTGTTTTTTGGAGACAGGGTCTCACTGTGACACCCAGGCTGGAGTACAGTGGCGTAATCATGGCTCACTGCATCCTCGACTTCCTAGGCTCAAATGATCCTCCCACCTGAGTTTCCCGAGTAGCTGGGATCGCAGGCATGCACCATCATACCCAGCTAATTTAAACATTTTCTTGAAGAGATGGGTTTTGCATATTGTCCAGGCTGGTCTTGAACTCCTGGGCTCAAGCAATCTTCCTGCCTAGGCTTCCCAAAGTGTTGGGATTATAGGCTTGAGCCACTGTGTCCAGCTTGTTTTTTTTTTTTTTTTTTTTCTGGAGACCAAGTCTCGCTCTGTCTCTAGGCTGGAGTGCAGTGGCGTGATCTTGGCTCACTACATCCTTTGCCTCCCAGGTTCAAGCGATCCTTCTGCCTCAGTCTCCCGAGTAGCTTAGACTGCAGGTGTGTGCCACCACAGCCAGCTAATTTTTGTATTTTTAATAGAGATGGGGTTTCACCGTGTGGTCCAGGATGCTCTCGATCTCCTGACCTCGTGATCCGCCCGCCTCGGCCTCCCAAAGTGCTGGGATTACAGGCATGAGCCACCGCGCCCGGCCTGCTTGGTTTGGTTTTGTTCTGTGTTTTGTTTTTTTCTTGTTGAGAGGGGAATGATACTTAACAGATAAGACTTCGTGGATTCATATATATCTGGTTTCAAATCTTACTGTGTTAACTAGGTGTGAGAGTTAAATACTTATGAGCCTCAGTTCAGCCTCATTTGAATGAAGGGGACAGTAATATCCATGTTCAGAGTTTCTGTCAAGAGCCTGTCCATAGAAATAACCTGTTCTGTAGCATCATGTAAACATTCAGGAAAGGGTAGCTATTGGGGATTTTGAGAATGGTAGCAATAACGTTATTTGGAATGTAAAAGTATAAATGTGAATTTGAAGATTTTGGTCTTATATTACTAAAATTACTATCTGCAAATGTTTTACCATGAGAATTTTTTTTTAAGCAGATTCATGTGTCAGTTCTTAAATATTTTTAAATCTCTCTCTCTCTCAAAATAAGTCACTCAGCCTCTGAAGAAGCTTCGGGTTCAGACTCAGGCAGTCAGTCGGAAAGTGAGCAGGGAAGTGATCCAGGAAGTGGACATGGCAGCGAGTCGAACAGCAGCTCTGAATCTTCTGAGAGTCAGTCGGAATCTGAGAGCGAATCAGCAGGTTCCAAATCCCAGCCAGTCCTCCCAGAAGCCAAAGAGAAGCCAGCCTCTAAGAAGGAACGGATAGCTGATGTGAAGAAGGTATCTACTTTGCCCTGCAGTACAAATGTGCTGCTAGCCTAGGACAAGCTAGCAGACCTTTGTTGTTCATGAAAACTCATTAGTATATCTTGATGATGAAACCTACAGCCATTTTTTCTAGTAATATACAGTAGTATATCTGAGGATACAAATGAAGACTTCTTTCTGCTCTATTAAGGAAAATAAATGACCTGAACCATCCAATTATAGGGAGGAAAGACAAATTTTTATACGCTTGGTTTTTAACTTTATTTATTTATTTTTGCAACAGAGTCTTGCTCTGTTGCCCAGCCTGGAGTGCGCAGTGGCACGATCTTGGCTCACTGCAATCTCCGCCTCCCAGGTTCAAGTGATTCTCCTGCCTCAGTCACCCAAGTAGTTGAGATTACAGGTGTCTGCCACCACGCCCAGCTAATTTTTGTATTTTTAGCGGAGACTGGGTTTCATCATGTTGGCCATTCTGGTCTTGAACTTCTGACCTCAGGTGATCCACCTGCCTCGGCCTCCCAAAGTGCTGGGATTATAGACCTGAGCCACCATGCCCAGCCTAAAATATATTTTTAAGGTTAAAGTGAGCAGTTCCGGAAAGTTAATAATATGTAGTTATAGGTTGGATGGACCTACAAGCCAGTCAGAATGATTGCACTGTGCCTTTGATAATCATTATCCTAAAATGAGAACTTCTAAGGAAGGCTCTTGGTTTTCTATGTACACCTCCTTTTCACATGGTAGCTCTCTGTCCCCCTCCAAAAGCTTATTACTCATGTAAGAGTACTCAGTAGTGAGTAACTCCACATAGTAGATTTTTCATGGAGGAGTTGACTTAGATATCGGCTCTCAAAAGGACAAATAAGAACACAAGATAATTTTAGGATGTAAACATTATAATATATGCTGTAATAAAGTCATAATAGTTGAGCTAGAATGCCTGGCTGGTATCTTGAAGTGATAAAACTAGTTGATGTAGTAACACTGAAATGATTTTGCCCTCCCAGTTAATAAGGGCTCCATAAAAACCTGTGTTGAGTAAAAACTTTCATAGCTCTAGCAGAGGGCCAGGTGTGGGCATGGATAGACAGGCTAGAGTAAAGCGCACTTTCCCTCCTTCCTTTCTCTGCCAGGTTTTTTCAGAGTGTTTTATGTTTACTGCCTCTACCTATATTTCCTACCATTTGGTTATTCCTAACTCCTTCTGTTTGGACCTTTTGTCCTTTAACTCCAAGGTGATGCTAAGGCCGTTACAGAATCTGTGGACTTTGGGTTATGTGATTACATTGGATTCTAGTTGTAAAATGCCTATTCTGGGCCATCTTTTCTTTTGAAGCCTTGATTTTCTTCAGCTTACTTCATCATTTTTATGTTGTTGTTGTTGTTGTTAAAGTCATTGTTGATAATGTCCTTTCTTAGTGACATTGTTGGATCATTTTTCATAAAGATGAGACAGGGTCTTGCTCTGTCCCCCAGGCTGGAGTGCAGTGGTGCAATCACAGCTCACTGCAGCCTTGATCTTCTGGGTTCAAGTGATCCTCCCACCTCAGCCTCCCAAGTAGCTGGGACTACAGGCACGTATTGACACACCTGTCTAATTTTTAAATTTTGTTGTAGAGACAGGATCTCCCTACGTAGCCCAGGCTGATCTTGAGCTCCTGAACTCAAGCCATTCTTCTGCCTGGACCTCCCAGGGTGGTGGGATTACATGCCTGGCCCTACACTTTTAAATACAAACATTTCACAAGTCTCAGCTAGTGGCTTCTTTTGTGCATGTTCTGAACCTTACTTTTCCAAATATTCTCATGACGTTAGCTGTCACCTGTAATTTGATAACCCATATTTCTCATCTCAGCTTTTGCTACTTGCTTAATTTCTGTTACACCTTTTCATGTCAGTGTTCCACAATCCATTCAAATTCCTTTTGCTTATGTGTGATTCTGTTAAAAGAATACAGAATATACTTAGTAGTAGTTATCTCTGGGGAAGAAAGTGAAAATGATTTTTCTCCTCAACTAATCTGTCTTTTAAACTTTTTAAATCACTGGTGAGGATTGTTACAGGTCTTAAAGGTTGTTACAGGTCTACAAAAATCAGGTCTTAAAGGCAAAGGGCTAATTACTGCTACAGAATAAAAAATAGATGTGTTAGAGAAAGGGTGGCAGTGGTTCTCATTCTGAGAACTTCTAGCTAAGTGTTAGCAATGCCTCATCTGCGTTTATCTGGGATGTTACATGACCTGAGGAACTTAAAGAAAAATACAAATTCCTGATTCTTACTTAATTAGACTTAATGGGGGCTTTGCCGCTTGTATTTTCAGTTTCACAGGTGTGGGTTAGTGCAGTCAAGACTGAAACTCAAAGCAGTAGGGAATTTAAAATGTATCAGTAAATACTTTGTCTTTAGTGGAAGCAGCCGCTGTCTTACCTTTCTGTATTATTCAGCTGTATATTTTAATGATGGGTAAGCGGTGTACCATATAGATTTATAGCTGTTAAGTAATGAAGACATTGTTAAACTAATATTTCCTAGGATAATATGCCTATTTTAAAAAAAATGGCGCTTTATTGTCTCATAAATAGAACTAGCAAAACAACCCTTTTGATACTTGGTTACTTGAATTCTCTTCAATTGCAATAAACGTTTGATAATAATAATGGGGGTCAAGAAAAAAGATTAATGCGTGGTCTCTTAATTTTACAGATGTGGGAAGAATATCCTGATGTTTATGGGGTCAGGCGGTCAAACCGAAGCAGACAAGAACCATCGCGATTTAATATTAAGGAAGAGGTAAGGAAAAAATGTTTTAAGGGCATGCATTTAAACTCCCTATCTTACTTCATTCTTTCTGACTCTGGTATGTATTACCATTAAAAAGACTGAACTTCAGGCATGAGGGTTAAGTGACTCTAATATGAGCTATCTATGACCAGATACAGTAAGGCAAGAAGTTAATAATCAAATAAAAGAATCTAACCAGAAAGATCATATAATAGTGAATTTTTTAGTAGAGTATTATACAGAACTGACCTCAAAATGGTTTATTTTTTAAGTTGTCTCTCATAGTGAAAATTGATTATATATAGCAAGAAGTTTACCTTTTTAAGCCCCTAACTTCTAAATCTCCTAGATATTTATTAAATGGGTAACTTGTTTGGTAAACAAACAGAGCAATAGAAATAGTTTGGGATTTATTCCTGAAAGAGGAGGGAGTGCTTAATTAATGTATCTACTTTTATTTAACTTCTTAAATTTGGTTTCCTTGCTCATTTTTAGTGTGAGATATAATAAAATGAGTTTCAAACATACTTACTCTAATTGTGAGAGATTGATCAGTGATTTTTTTAAATTGGTATTCTATACCAGGCTTGGTTGTCTATAGAATCAGACTTCTTTCACCTTTCTCATTTTGTGTGATATTTTTGTGGATTCTTATTCTGAATTAGGTTTATAGACTAGATCCTGAAGAGAGATTCTTTTGTCTCAATGAAATGTCTACTTTCTGCTTTCTTGGGAGGACTTTGCTAGTCTTAGCTATATAACGTACTTCTGATGAAAGTTAAATATTGATAGCCACAGGTCAGTGAGTTGGGTGTGGGTTTTTAAATAAATGTACCTTAAAAATCTAATTCACCCTAACATCTGCATTACATTTGTGATGTTTTATTTTGAGTGACCTCTGAGCTGTTTTGCCTTTGCTTTTGTTTTCCATAGTGTCTCGCACTAGGTTACTGAGCCATGTTTGTTAAAACCAATCACATAGTTGTAGAAATCTTTCCCTCTTTTACATATTAATTAACACATTCTCTGTAGGGTACAAGATTAACAGCAATAGGAATAGTTTGCCATTTTCCTTAATTGTGGAGAGAAAGAGCTACTGAAATGTCTGTGACTGTAAGCTTTCCTTGGCCTAGTGCTGTTAGCAGAGCACTGTTGGCTCATGAGTGAACATACTCTTAAATGAGTCTAAAATGAATACATCAGTAGTTGGTGCCTTTAAGGCACACTGACTAAATGTTGTGGCATTTTTATTTGATAGTCTCAATCTGCAGTATCCAGTATGGTCCCCACTACTCACATGTGGCTTTTAAAATTCGCATTAGTTAAAAATAAAACTTCCATTTCTCAGTCACACCAGTCACATTTTAAGCGCTTGGTAGTCACATGTGGCTGATGGGTACTGTATTGGACATTGTAGATACAGGACATTTACATCGTTGCAGAAAGTTATTGGATATTGCTGTTCTGGAAGTCAAGCTGAGATAAATATTTCCTGGCTTTAGAGATAACTCAGTGATAGCAGAGAGATATTAATTTTCAAATCAAAAGAAGAGGGAGTTCCACCAAGCAAGTGCTTAGGTTTCTTTGTGTCTAAAAGCTCATATTGAATAATGGTATATTGAGTAGACTGTTGATCCAGGAGATAGTGTTGTCCCGAAGAACTGTGAATTAAAGTCTGTAATCATTTTTCCCCCCTCACACACTGAAGGCAAGTAGCGGGTCTGAGAGTGGGAGCCCAAAAAGAAGAGGCCAGAGGCAGCTGAAAAAACAGTAAGTCTTTCATGGGGGAAATTATTCAATCTAGTAGTTTCAAACTTGTCAGCATTTCTAGGACTGCCTTCGTTGTGTCTTTAGTCTACTCCAGGTCCCTTAGTCTGCTTCTGTCTCTCTTACTAGCTCGGGTGACTGTCTACCTTGACCTGTTGCAATAGCAGCAGCAGCATTGGAAACTCAAGATTCTCAGTTTAACACATGGAAGGGGTCCACGTATACTCGAGCTTTTGCTTGGGATAAATCTCAGCTTCTTCCATCGGGTTAACCCAATTAGCCCATTGATTTTTTTCAGAAAAATATGTATAAATAACAAGTACACAGGTATTTGGTATTGTAGTAAGCAAGGAACAAATGTAGATTTGCTATTTTTATGGCAAAATTATATTGGCTGAACATCCATTTTGGTAAGAAATTACATATTGTTGTTTCTGTATAATTTTAATGTTGCAGTTCATAAGCCAGAAAAATTTAATTTGTGGACTTAATGTGGAGTTTCTTTATAACATAGATTTATATGTTGATTTTTTAATTTAAAAAGTTCGATTTATATGATATGAAATTATTTGATTTTTTTTGAGAAATAATTTTTAAAGTCATTTTTTGGAGAGGGTGTGGATCCCGTTGACAATCTGAATTCTATAGCTTCTCTCAAAAATGTAGATATTCAAAACTTTGTATACCAGTTCAGGGGTTCTCATGTTAAACAGTTGTCCATGGCTTCTATTAAGAGCTCTAGGTACATATGCTCTGTTGTAAAATATTATTACTCTTTAGTAAGTGGCCTAAGGCAAGTCATTTGAGATTTTAAAACCCATTTCCTCATCTCCAAAAAAAAAAATAATACCATCTACCCAACAGGATTATTAGAAACTATGCTAAGATTTTGTGACATTAAATAAATGTAGGGTATTACAGAGCCTTACAGAAAAGTACTTAATTTTGCCCTGCTAGAGCGCATTCAGTTTTCATTTGTGTTTTGGAGAAATAGTAACTGTAAGCAAACCTGCACTTGGCATCTTAGAAGGCTTTTGTTCTGCCCCAGTCTCCTGGTCTGCTTGGGAGACTATTATCTGCTTACTGGTCTAATGGCCTTTTGAGTATCTTTCCTGAAATGTCCACCTTGATTACACCCTGGGAAATCCATGCATGTAATCATTACTTCACCATCTGGCTACATTCCTTTGGTCTCTTGACTGCAAGTTAAATGGTGCTATGCTTGAATTCTTGACTTCCTATTTTAATGGCCTTATTTGTGTGTGCAGAAGCCAGCGTTTTTTTCAGTCACTGTATAATACATTGCGCTTACTCTGGTTACTGGCTCATAGTCTTGTCAGCCTTTTTGTTTTGTTTTGTTTTGAGACAGGGTCTCACTCTGTTGCTCAGGCTGGAGTGCAGTGGCTTGATCTCAGCTCACTGCAGCCTTGGCTTGCTGGACTTAATTGACCCACCTAAGCCACTCGAGTAGCTGGGACTACAGGCATGTGCTATCATGCCCAGCTAAGTTTTTAAAAATTTATTGTATAGATGGGGTCTCACTATGTTTCTCAGGCTGGTTTCAACCTCCTGAGCTCAAGCAGTCCTCCAGCCTCGGTCTCCTAGGATTACAGGTGTGAGCCACTGTGCCCCGCCACTTATCAGTCTTAAGAATTCCCCAAAGTTGGCAACCTTCAGTAGCATATATGGACCTTTCTTTTCCTGAGTAGAACCTCTTAGTTCCTTGCAGAGTGGGATCTGTCTTCTTTTTCATATTGCTTCCCTACCCTAGGGCTGTTCATAGGAACTGCCTTGGGCTGAGATAGTTCCCCTCATGTTCCTGTGTTTGGGCACTGGGCTAGCCTTCGTTTCTGCTATTCTCTGGCCAGCTGGTGAGTATTGTGGATTTACAGAGAGCTCTTCTCCTGAGTCACCAGTTGAGATTCCTGAAAGATTAATTAGGGGAGGTCTTGTAGCTGCTGACACTCAAGTTGCAAGGCACTTTAGGAGCCTTCTGTGATCCAAGCTGAGCAAGTGTAACATAACCTAATGTGTGGTCACATGCATTTCAGAATTCAGACTCACTCAGAGAGTGAAAGGTTTGAAATATTGGCACAAAGAAATGCTTTTCTGAAACCCTGCAGATTTTATTCACACATTTTAGAGTTTTTAAAAAGGGACCATTTTGTAAAATTGGTTTAAAAAAATTAATTCCAAACTTTAGGAAAGTTGCAAGAATAAAAGTGCAGTACAAAGGACACCTTATATACTTTACCCAGATTACCATTTTTCCTCCATTTGCTTTATTATTATGGGTGCTGTTTATTTAAGAGAGAGGGTCTTGCTCTGTCACCTAGGCTAGAGTGCAGTGGTGCAACCTTGGCTCTCTGCAGCCTCAATCTCCTGAGCTCAAGTGATCCTCCTACCTCAGCCTCCCAAGTAGCTGGGACGACAGGCGTGCACCACCATGCCTGATTTTGTATTTTTGTAGACATAGAGGTCTCACTACGTTGCCCTGGCTGTTCTCAAACTCCTGGCCTCAAGTTATCCTCTCACCTTGCTCTCCAAAAGTGTTGGGATTAGCATACGTGAGCCACTGCACCCAGCCTGTGTATATTTATATATATACAAACATAATGTTTTTTATGAACTATTTGAGACTAAAATTCATAAAATTTTACCTTTTATCCCTTTACCTTAAATATGTAAGGTGTATTTCTTAAAAATAAGGATTTTCTCTTTTATAAGCACAGTACAGTACAGATTCAACTTAGATTTAAAACATTGCTGACGTACTTTTTTTTTTTTTTTTTTGAGACGCAGTCTGGCTTTGTCGCCAGGCTGGGGTACAGTGGCGCAATCTCGGCTCACTGCAGCCTCCGCCTCCGGGGTTCAAGCAATTCTCCTGCCTTAGCCTCCCGAGTAGCTGGGACTACAGGCGTGCGCCACCACGTCCAGCTAATTTTTTCTATTTTTAATAGAGACGGGGTTTCACCATGTTGGCCAGGATGGTCTCAGTCTCTTGACCTCGTTATCAGCCTGTCTTGGCCTCCCAGAGTGCTGGGATTGCAGGCTTGAGCCACCGCACCTGGCTGCTGATGTACTTTTGTCTGATTCATATTTCAGTTTTGTCAATTAACCCAATAAAGTCTTTCATAATATTTTTCCATCTCTACTACAGGATCTAGTTTAGGGTCAGTTACATACAATTAGTTGCACATCTTTTTTTTTTTTTTTAATTGTACTTTAAGTTCTAGGGTGTATGTGCACAATGTGCAGGTTTGTTACATATGTATACATGTGTCATGTTGGTGTGCTGCACCCGTTAACTCGTCATTTACATTAGGTATATCTCCTAATGCTGACCCTTCCCCCTCCCCCCCACCCCATGACAGGCCACAGTGTGTGATGTTCCCCACCCTGTGTCCAAGTGTTCTCATTGTTCAATTCCCACCTATGAGTGAGAACGTGCGGTGTTTGGTTTTCTGTCCTTGCGATAGTTTGCTCAGAATGATGGTTTCTAGCTTCATCCATGTCCTTACAAAGGACATGTCTGATTTCTTTAATTGGGAGCACTTTCACAGCCTTCTTTTGCTTTTAGGACATTGATGTTTTTGAAGAATGCAGTCTTGCAAGGGACTGTGTTCTTTGCAGAATTACGAAGAGACCAATTACCCCGTCACGATTTGTATTAGGTTTTTATTTTTTGGGATGGACTCTCGCTCTGTCGCCCAGGCTGGAGTACGATGGCGCAATCTCAGCTCACTGTGACTCAAGTGATTCTCCTGCCTCATCCTCCTGAGTAGCTGGGATTACAGGCATGCGCCACTGTGCCCAGCTGATTTTTGTATTTTTAATAGACATGGGGTTTCACCATGTTGCCCAGGCTGGTCTTGAACTCCTGACCTCAGGTGATCCACCCGCCTCAGCCTCCCTAAGTGCTGGGCTTATAAGATGAGCCACCGCGCCCGGCCCCTTTTTTTTTTTTTTTTTAAGTTAAAGAGACAGGGTCTTCCTCTATTGGTGCACATGTGTGGCCATAGCTCACTGCAACCTTGAACTCCTGAGCTCAAGTGATCCTCTTGCTTCAGTCTCCCCAGTAGCTGGGACTGTAGGCACGTACAACCACATCCAGCTGTATTCATACTTTTAAAGCTTAGAAGAAGTTATACAGCACAATGGACCTGCACAATATTTAAAATATTTTTAAATTAGTTAGCATCATTTAATTGAGAGTGCATAACAATCTGTGTTTTTAGCTTCTTTTGAGAAAATTTGGTAATGCTGGCTTATGTAACAGTGATGGACCAGGAGTTCTCCATTTTGCCTTGTTTGCAGTTCTCATCTGGCCCCTGTGAGTATTTGAGATTGTAATCTCTGACTTAGAGTCATACAAACAAACAAAACATTGAACTTTTTTTAACCAACTCAGATGCTGTTTTGATTAAACTCTTTTTTTCATGCATTACCTCTTAATGTTATCCAAATTGCGCAGTGTTGTATAAGATTTTTGTTGACTTCTGGTCCTGGTGGTTTTGTTTTGTTTTTGTTTTTGAGACGGCGTTTTATTCTTACCAGGTGGGAGTGCAGTGCAGTAGCACATTCACAGCTCACTGCAGCTTTGACCTCCTGGGCTCAAGTGATTCTCCCACCTTAGCCTCCTGAGTAGTTGGGACTGCAGGCGCACACCACCACACCAAGCTAATTTCTTAATTTTTTGTAAAGGCTGGGTCTCACTCTGATGCCCAGGCTGGCCTTGAACTCCTTGGTTCAAGCCATCCTCCCACCATGGCCTCCCAAAGTGTTGGGATTACAGGCATGAGCCACTGTGCCCGGCCCTTTTCCAGTGTTTTGAATTGGAGATTGTCACATACCTGTAACACAGTGGAAGGGAATCCCTATTAGCCTCAGATTTCTGTTGATCATTGGAATTTTTTTTTCAAAAGCATGCTTTCTTGGGGAAATCTACTGAAGACTGAGGAAACAAAAGTAGCTACTTCCCTCTTCCAGATGTCTTCTAAGTGGAGGAAAAAGGAGTTTTCTTTTTTACAGACAGTTAATAGCAAGCCTTACCAACTCTTGGTCAAAGTTCTGGCTCATTATATTTAAAAGTAGCTTTTGTTCATTTCCTACTTTACAGTTGATTAGATTTGATTTGTCTGTCTTAGGATTTGTGTCTAGCCAACCACCTTTTCCCAATAAAGGAAGAAAACTATACACATTTAAATTGCATTTTGACTTTTTCCATGTCTATTTACATTGCCTTGGGGCCTCTTGGCTAAATCTTGGTATTTTTCTCCCTAGTTCTCAAAATTTCGGGAAAAATTTAGTTGAATTATGTGTTTTTACAGTATCTAGGGGGGACTCTGTTAATGGCCTCTAAAGCTGGATATTGTAAGTTTCCTTTGATAGACATTTTTTGCTCACGATCTCATATCTTAAACTATTCTTTATTGTAGACTGACTTACAATGTATGGCTTAGTGGTGGAGTCTTGATAAGATTTGCATTTTATAAGAGGCCAGTAATGTAGGAGAGGACAGCAGTTTCACATGTGGGAGAGCCTTATACATCTGTAGGGTTGGGAAGTAATTTCTTTGTAACAGCTCAGTCACTTTTTTCACTTCACCCATTCTTCACAGTGACTTAGTATTGCTGGTCCTTACTATCTTTTTTCTCGTTCTTGAAAATGAAAAGAAAACGTGAAAGAATCCAACCAATTTCAAATATACATACACACACACTTAGGCCTTTTAAACCTTGAGTTTTTCAAATACTCCCAGGACGTGTAAGCCTGGCTTTAATGTTTCCTGATTCTTTGGTCCTCAGTGAGTTATGATTGAAAGTAGCAGGGCTGAGGGTTGGTGATATGGCCAAGCAACTCATTTCCTCACTGCACTTCAGTTTCCTTCTCTGGGAGGAGAACTTTGGACTAGTTGATTTGCTAAGTTTTTTTTTTCTTTCTTTCTTTCTTTTTTTTTTTTTTGAGAACAGAGTCTCGCTTTGTCACCTAGGCTGGAGTGCAGTGGCCCGATCTCGGCCCACTGTAAGCTCCACCTCCCGGGTTCACGCCATTCTCCTGCCTCAGCCTCCAGAGTAGCTGGGACTACGGGCGCCCGCCACCACGCCTGGCTAATTGTTTTGTATTTTTAGTAGATACGGGGTTTCACCACGTTAGCCAGGATGGTCTCAATCTACTGACCTCGTGATCCGCCCGCCTCGGCCTCCCAAAGTGCTGGGATTACAGGCGTGAGCCACCGCGCCCGACCTTTTTTGCATTCTTATATTGGGAGATTCTAAGTCCTCCTGGTTGTTCATAAGTCTGTAAATCTGTAATCTAACTGGAAAACTCTAGCCTCAACACATCCATTCTCTGTGTTTGCTGTCTGCTATACTTATAGAAGTGGACCTCATTGGTGGCCCTGGTTTAGGTTCTCAATTCCTGGGGGAGATATGGTAATTAGAATTTATTGGTGAATCTTTCTTATCTGAAGGACTAGCTGTTCATATTCCTTCAAGCATGCTTCTACTTCTCTCCAGTTTGACTGTGTAAGCCCCCTCTGAGGGGTAAACTGTTGTGGACTTGGTCTGAGGGAGACTGCAGACTCATGCTGGTCTCCCACTTACTGTAAACATCTTCCTTTCTTCCTTCCTGGTGATCACCTTATATTCCTTGGATTCTTAGCAAACATTTATTGTACTATGCTCCGGGGAAGCAGAATTAGACCAGTGTCCAGAGTGTATATACGAAGGTCTTTGTTTTAAAGAGACTGAAGGATATTAGGCAATACTAACAGGCCTTTCTGTCTTACCAGAAGCACCCCTACCCGTCTGACTGATAGACTAATTGCGCATTCTTTCATTGATTTTTTTTTTTTTAACCTAACAAAGAAACATCTCCATTTGCCTGACTTTGGCTAAACTCTGGTACAAAGACGAACAAAAAGTCTTGGTGTACAAGGACCCATCTACTGGGGAAATGCATATGGAAACACGCAGTGCTAGTAGAAGTTGAATAATATTCATAAAATTGCTCCACTGACCGTCCGTGGAAGGCCTGAATTGTTGTTTTTTCCCCCTAAGGTCTCCACCAATTCAGGTTTAGGGTGACCGTTGTAGCTTTTAGGAAGGTTCTCAATCTGCACATCAGCCACCTCCTTTCAATAAGCTTTCACCATTACTTGACCTGTTCTCCCATGAAGAATATTGATTTGACATTTGTCTTGTTGTAGCTGTTGTCTTTAGTATGACCTCATTCCCTATAAAGTGACCCATAGGCAAATTGGTAATTGTTTGATTTACAGAGAAGCCCCAGGCACTTGCCTGTCAGTTTTTTCCTAGGTATTTCATGCCTAGCAGCTATTACATGTTTCTTCCCTCTTCTCTGTAGGTGAGAAATGAGTGGGGTCCCTGCAATATCTTGTTGGATTTTCAAGTAAACTAAAACTGTTTGGGATAGTAGGACGCCTGTAGGTTATGGCTCTTTCAAGCCTTCTAAGAATTCAAGGAGCAAAGGAACATCTACTGTATCTAATAATTATTAAAAACTACATCTTTAGCTGAACAGATTAGTTATATGATAGGTTTATTGTTGAAAAATAATTTTAGGGACTGTTTCCTTAAATGTATTCTAGAGACTTAAAATATCTAGTATAGTGGTTCTCAGAGTTTCTACCCAGTATCAGCATTACTTGAATTTGTTGAAATTCATATTTTTTAGGCCTCAACTGAGACCTACTGCATCAGGAGCTCTGACTAGGGCCCAGAAATCTTTTTTTTTTTGATGGAGGAGGGGCAGATAGGGGCAGGGTTTCACTCTTAACCGCCTAGGGTGGAGTACAGTGGCAAAATCACAGCTGACTGCAACCTCAAACTCCTGGGTTCAAGTGATCCTTCCGCCTCCTCAGCCTCCTTAGTAACTAGGACTGTAGACATGCTCCACCAGGCCTGGCTCAATTTTAAAATTTTAACTTTAATTTTTCTGGAGAGGTGTCTTGTATTGCTCAGCTTGGTCTTGAGCTCCTGGACTCAAGTGAAACTCCCACCTTGGCCTCCCAAAGTGCTGAGATTACAGGCATGGACCATCTCACTTGGCCCAGAAATCTTTTTTAACAAGCCCTTTAGGTGGTCCTGATAACATTTTAAAATTTTGGAAGCACTGATCTTGTGCATGTTATGGTTTCAATCTTGTCAATAAGAGTAGTAAATGAAAAAAGTACATATATATCCATTTTTATTTATTTTTGTTACTGGAGATAAAATAGGAATCGATATTATGTAGTCCAGGAAGGATCACAATTCAAGTTTAAATGGAGCTAGAATCTCTTTTAGCATGTCTAAAATGTGCATGTTCTGCCCTTTGGATAGTAAAATTGAAATTGGTTTTGTCGGATTATTTATCTTGAAGGATTCTTTTAGAAAAAAATTACTTTGTTTTGCTTTTGATCACAGAGAAAAATGGAAACAGGAACCCTCAGAAGATGAACAGGAACAAGGCACCAGTGCAGAGAGTGAGCCAGAACAAAAAAAAGTAAAAGCCAGAAGACCTGTCCCCAGAAGGTGCACTGTTTGCTTAAGATCTCTACTTGGGATGAGCTTAATCTGCTGTAGATTGGGAAGGATAATGTCGTGCTGAAATGAGAGCTTTAATGAGATGCATTGTGTTTTGATTCTGCGTTTTAGATATCTGTGGTTCACTTTCAGCCAGCCTACATTGCAGGTCTTACTGCTTCTTTCTTCGCAGACTGGCTATCGTGGGGCAAACATGTCTTCCGCTTTTAGTAAAACTCCTTATATGTTTGGCCAGGGTACAGTCTCTTTTTGGGAGAACAAATTGTTTAAAACACTGTTTGCCTGGCTTAAAGCATACTTGAGTGGTTTATTACCTTGTTCATAAAATCTATATAACATTAAACAAATAATCTGATTGTGTAGAGAAGGAGGTAGGCTGAAATAGCAGCAAATTATGCTAATTTTTGATAAGACAGATGGCAGCCTAAGATAGTGATGACAGGAAAAGGGAGTCAGAAGACAGGCCCCAGGGAAAATTACCTCCTTGTAGTATTGCTTAGAATGGACTCAGCAAACTATGCCCTTTGGGCCAAATTTCATCCACCACCTATTTTCATATGGCCTGTGAGCTAAGAATAGTTTTTATAGATGAACATTTCTAATTTACAGTTTAAGGATAGAGAGCACTAAATTTGAACTCCAATTAAGTGAAATGTTATCCCCTCAAAAACAATTCTGTTCTCATTAGTAGATATATATTGCAGTAAATGTACCTGATTATTTCATTTTGAATTATTTAAAAAAATTTGTGAAAATTTATTTTCTTTCATTATGTAAGGACCTATACATTGGTCCCCATTTTGCCTCTTGGCTGGCAGAGCCTAAAATATTTACTCTCTGGCCATTTACAGAAAAAGTTTGCCAACCTCTGGCCTAGGACATTGTACTTACCCCCCAACACCAGCAGGGGAATTTGTCAACTGAATTTTATCTTATTTTATCTCAGCTTAATAAGTTTATCTCAGAACTGTCACGCCAGTTCTGTCTTTTAGAATTTTGCTCATTATTTATTACATCGTTGATCATCTGTTTAGGTTTGGTTATGAGAAAGGTATGGGAGGTATGAGAGAAAGAGATAATAAATGTGATCATGAGTATCCATTTCTCTCCCTCTCTGACTTCTTTCACCTTTTTATCACTGATGGAATATTTGGGGATTTCCTTAGGTGAGCTTCTAGACTGTGGCTTTCAATCCTGGCCATCTCCCTGGTCTGTCCAAGTTAATTCTGTGATAGGGCACACAGTCTCTCAGGTAGTATTCCAGGTATATTTTATACACATACAGTAAAAACTTATGTATAGTTACTTCTTGTGCTTTACTTTCTTCACACAGATAATAGCATCCTCTGCTGCTTGTTCTGTAGGTTTCTTTATCCTGGAAATCCTTTCGTATTAGTATACAAAAA
This sequence comes from Homo sapiens, assembly GCF_000001405.40. Lineage (NCBI taxonomy): Eukaryota > Metazoa > Chordata > Mammalia > Primates > Hominidae > Homo > Homo sapiens. The sequence goes on from NC_000015.10 coordinate 92,939,044, forward strand.
ACTCTTTTTTTTTTTCTATGAGTACATGGTACTGTTTAGTTTCCAGTTGAAGAATATTTAGAGTTTTCTTAATGTTTTGTTGTTGCAAATAATGCTATAGTGAATACTTTATTATGCCTGTTTAGGTGTATATCAATAGGATTAATTCCTACAAGTAAAACTGTTAATTCCTACAAGTAAAATAGTTTGATAGCTATTTCCAGTTTGCCCACCAAAGAGATACTATCATGAACAACATGCTGTGTATGTGTTTTTATATCAGGTAATCCTGATGAACATTTGTGAAACATTCACGTTCTTTCCCATAAATGATTGAGGATTATCAGCATTAGAATGACCTTCCTGTTGGAAATCCAGATTTCTAGTGAATTAGAATTTCAGGGAGTAGGGCCCAAGAATATGCATGTTTAACATTCCCCAAGTGAAATGTTACATTCTGATGTATGAACCACTGCTCTGGGAAATACTGTTATATAAAGTAGACACCAAATGATAAAGTGAAGACTTAGCCTTTTGTTTCTCTTCTCATTTTAGAACAGTGCCCAAACCTCGTGTTAAAAAGCAGCCGAAGACTCAGCGTGGAAAGAGAAAAAAGCAAGATTCTTCTGATGAGGATGATGATGATGACGAAGCTCCCAAAAGGCAGACTCGTCGAAGAGCGGCTAAAAACGTTAGGTAAGTTGTACCCCAGAAGTGTTTCACTGGTGTGATGTGATAAAGTAGTTGGTTAGATTTTGGTTCTCATAAGTCCGGGGTTGTGCACTTAATAGATAAAAATAACAGCCTATGTCCTGAAGTTGTTTTCAGAAATCTGGTTAGCTTTCTTGCAAAAAGAGTGGTATTGAGCCAAGGGGAATAGGAAAAGAGTAGCAATAGCTCATTTGAAGCCTTCATTCCTAAAAAACACCACAAGTTCGTGTCCTGTCCAATGGTGACTTAGTGGCATTATCTTCATTTCATAACATTTTTTTCCATTAAAGATATTTGGATTATATTCCTACTTCTGAATTGCTCTTTGAATCACAGACGTTTTTCTGAGGTTCAGCTTAACGTATTGCTACTTGAATCTGATTTTATCAAGTACTAATAGGATATGAAGCATTAATAGGAATTATCATTAGTGAAATAGGCCAGGCTCAGTGGCTCATGCCTGTAATTCCAACACTTTGGGAGGCCGAGGCAGGCAGATTGCTTGAGCCCAGGGGTTTGAGACCAGCCTAGACAACAGGGCGAGACCCTGTCTCTACAAAAAATAAGAAAAAGCCGAGTGTGGTGGCGGCATGCACCTGCAGTCCCAGCTACTTGGGAGGCTGAGGTGGGAGAATCCTGGGAGATGGAGGTTGCAGTGAGTTGAGATCACGCCACTGCACTCCACTCCAGGCAAAAAAGCTAGATCCTGTCTCAAAAAGAAAAAGGAAAATGAAATAAAGGAACAGATATATGCAAACACTAGTAGTTTACTTTATAGAAATCAAGTATTTTTTTTTTTAGATTTTACAGATTTGTTCTTCATAGAGATGGTGAAAATGAATCCTAGAGATATTCATAACTTATTCAATGTATCCAGTTAATAATTCCAAAGCTAGGACTGGGCTTTGAGTATGCTAGTGTATAGCCTAGCACTTTTTCTTACTGTAACTGTACTACATCCAGGATTGTTTTTCTTTCTTGTGACTCAATCATTCATTGTTAATATGTGATAGGAAGTTACATATATAAAAATATATATAAAAAATATAAAAAATATATAAATATATAAATAAATATAAATATATATAAATATTATAAATATATAAAAATATATATAAATATATAAATATATAAAAATATACATATAAATATATATAAAAATATATATAAATATATATATAAATATACATATAAATATATATAAAATATATATAAATATAAATATATATAAATATAAATATAAATATAAATATATATATAAATATATATATATAATTTTTTTTTTTGAGACGGAGTCTTGCTGTGTTGCCCAGGCTAGAGTGCAGTGGCGCGATCTTGGATCACTGCAACCTCTGCCTCCCGGATTCAAGTGATTCTGCTGCCTCAGCCTCCAGAGTAGCTGGGATTACAGGCGCCCACCATGCCGGCTAATTTTTGTATTTTTAATCGATACGGTCACCATGTTGGCCAGGCTGGTTTCTAACTCCTGACCTCGTGATTCACCTGTGTCAGCCTCCCAAAGTGCTGGGATTACAGGTGTGAGCCTCCGCGCCTAGCCAATATGTTTCTTTTTTTAAACCAGGAAGTATTTGTGTTGAAGCTTCCAGCAGTCTGGGAATACTTAAATTTCATATTCTTATTACTGGGAGACAACATACAGGGTTGACATTTTTAATTTTAGAAATATTGCTTCTCTTTTTGCCTGATGAAATAGTAGCAAATTTTTTCTTCCATTATGGTTTTTCTTTTTTTGTGTGGTAGTCTACTTGTTTACATAATAATCTGATACTAAAAAATGAAAAAAATAGAAGTGTCCTTATAGTTTTCTATATCTTGCTTATACAAATCAGTATAAATATAGAATTTTTATTTTCAAATTGAGTTAGACTCCCTACAGTTGTTTAGGAGCATTCATCAGCACTTTAGGAAAAAAAAGTAAGCTTTGAGCCTACTGTAAATGGCAGATCTATAAAACAACATGCTTTTGGAACCAAAAGGGTATGGTTTCTTATTCTAGTGACGGTTATGTGTGGCAGTTTAATTCTGAAGAGATCATTTCTCATTTATTCAGCATTATTCCTCTTGCAGTTACAAAGAAGATGATGACTTTGAGACTGACTCAGATGATCTCATTGAAATGACTGGAGAAGGAGTTGATGAACAGCAAGATAATAGTGAAACTATTGAAAAGGTCTTAGATTCAAGACTGGGAAAGAAAGGAGGTATGTGTATTTGGGGAGCAAATTACATTTTATGTATGCTTAGTAAGACTTAGATTTTAGGTATTTTAACTCTAATGTGATGAATTTTAGTCTACTGCTGTATTTGTTGTGATATGTAGAAGTCTTTCTGACCCAGTGTTTCAGAGCTGAGGACAAAGGTATGTGTACACTATGTCTTTAAGATTTTAAATTAAGCTAGTATAGATAAGTGTCAATGTTTTATAAAGCAGTGATATAGCAGAGATACCTGCTAATTAACATTAAGCAAATCCACCTTTGGTTATTTGTTTCTTAAGCTCCTTGTGAAAATATCAAACTGGTTAAATAAATATTGTGGTAATATTGAAGATTTTTAAATATCTAATTTAGATATCTCATAACTAAGTTGCATTAAAGTAAACTTTCTGTAAAGGAAATACCAAAATAATACTTAATGCTTTTTCTTTTGGCTTTTTTTTTTTTTTCTTTTTTTCATTCTGGCTTCGATTGAGGTTAAGAAAGTTAACCGGGGACTTCGAGTAGGGGAGGTTGGAGGAGGATATTTTGGTGTTCTATCCTTAGTCTTGGAGAGAGGGATTTGTTTTCCGAGTTAGTAAGGGACCAAAACAAAAGGATGTTGCTGCTCTGTTTTTATTGTTTTTGAATAAGGGATTTCTTTGATTTCACCTGCAAATTTAGGAATATGTAAAAAGTGGTTTACATTTTTAAAATACTTGAAATTTTTGATTGAGTCCGTTCTGTGTTGTTTGTGAGTTTGTACTTATTTCAAGTTGAAGTATTTTGGTGCTTCATCCACAAAGGGAGTCTTCAGATAATTGCATTCTTGGGAAGCTTTTTAATATCTGGTGTAATATACTCTCTTTCAAGTGTACTTAATCCTTTTGCAGCCACTGGAGCATCTACTACTGTATATGCGATTGAAGCTAATGGCGACCCTAGTGGTGACTTTGACACTGAAAAGGATGAAGGTGAAATCCAGTACCTCATCAAGTGGAAGGGTTGGTCTTACATCCACAGCACATGGGAGAGTGAAGAATCCTTACAGCAACAGAAAGTGAAGGGCCTAAAAAAACTAGAGAACTTCAAGAAAAAAGAGGACGAAATCAAACAATGGTATATTTTCCATCATGGATTAAAGAAATGTATTTGCAGCCTGAAAGAAGGGAAGGTTTTAAAATAATGCATGGAGATCACAGCTATCTAGAATCTCAGATTTTGCTTTGATCATCTAAACATGGAGCCATTTACAATTCTATTTTATAAGATTGTGACCTTCAGATACTATATTTTTATATGTGGCTACCAAGTTTTTGGAGTTAACTAGCTTATGGAGCGTTATTCACACATTCTTTAGTTTTCACAATAAGTGCATGAGATTTGTACTGTTATTACCCATTTTGTAGATGGGGAGAATACGGCACACAGCAATTCTGCAAGTGGACTCAGGTTTTGAATTCTGATGCCCTGAATCCAGAGCTTATTCTCTTAAGCACCTTGTTATTTTCCTGTAGTTAGGCTGGGGTGGCTTAGATGTAGAGAGTTAATATTCTGGAACTCTCTGGGTTATGATATACTTAAAACAAATTCTGGTTTTATACAATTTGCAGAAATGATGTGAAGGAAATTATTAGGTTAACTACTGAAACTGTGATAGTCCTCGTGTGTTTAGTTTACTTACAGCCTTGAATGTCTGGGTGTTGTATATGGGAAATATGTGGAGCTATAGCACACAAAAACCTAAACTGGGTAATAATGGTATCAAGCTCAGCCTGAAGACATACCTGTCTGTGTGGTGTGATTAGCCTATTTTTGTGTCTGGAATGTGCATAGATTTTTGTGTCTGGAATGTGGACAGTAATTCTGGTTTTACTACTGTGCAAAATGTGCTACTTTAGTAAATTACATGTTTTTTCTTTGACTCAAAACTGAAAATATGTACCCCTTAGATGGTGAGGTAGGCTTGTAAAGCAGTTAGAAATTTGAAATCCTCTGAAATATAATAATTCTAATATTAAGTTGCTGCTGTTGTCATCTGAAAGGTTTTGGTAATAAGAATAACTAGTTTTCCAAGTCATGTTTAATCAATCCTAAAACCCATATATATATAAGAAAAGGCGTACAGTTTTATTATCCTGATTTGTTGAGATGTATGAATTTGCCACATGAATCTATCACATAAAAGAGTTATTTTTGGGTCTCTTTTTAGACAGGACACATCAGAGGCAGGTAACTGGTATATCCTTCTATGAGTGTAAGGTTTTCAGTGTTCTCTAAAAGTGTTTTTTTTGTTTGTTTGTTTTGTTTTGTAAAATCTCTGGCGTAATTACTAGTAAAGATTACTTAAGGGGCAGATGGGAGTAAAAAATAGGTTTTCTTTTCCACCTTTGACTTTTGCTTTGATGTATGTGGATCCCCAGACTTTAGTTTATGTGTACTTTTTCTGTCTGTCTGCCATTCAGGTTAGGGAAAGTTTCTCCTGAAGATGTAGAATATTTCAATTGCCAACAGGAGCTGGCTTCAGAGTTGAATAAACAGTATCAGATAGTAGAAAGAGTAATAGGTAAGTACATGGTAACTCACTTCAGCCATATTTGAACTTGAGGAATAGTGGCTTTTGCTTTTGGAAGTAATGTAAATTTTAAAAATGCACTTTGGAGACTAGACACGTGCTAGGTTTATTTTAAAGGAAAAGCTAAGAAGATTTGCTGGTAAATTTGGATGTGGGGGATGAGAGAAAGAGGTGTTAAGTATGACCTCAAGATTTGTGGCCTAAACATGTAGAAGTTTAGAGGTACCATTTACCGAAGTGGAAAGATGAAGGGAAGAGCTGATCATTGGAGTGGAGACCAAGAGCTTAGTTTGATATTTGTAAGTTTGATTTACTTCTTAGTCATCTAAGTGGAGAATATAGTGAAGGCTGGAGCATATGTGAACCTGGAGCTTAGGACTCTTTAGTCTGGGCTGGAGATTTAAATTTGGAAATTTATCAGTATTTAGTATTTAAAGGCCAAGATTGAACAGGACCATCAGAAATAGAGTATCACGTGGTAAGAAGAAGTAGTCTGAGAGCATTTCAGCTTTTGGAAGTCAGAAAGAAGCTAGCAAAGGAGACTGAGAAAGAACAGTCGGTGAGACAGGAGGAGAGCTGAGAGAGAGTGGTGTACTGGAAGCCAAGTGATTCACATAGCCAGGAGAGAGGAAATGCTGTCAGTCAAGGACGATTAGGACTGAGACTTGATCTGTGAATTTGGCACTGGCAAAACGCATCCATGGAGTGGTGAGGGTGCGGCCTGATTAGGGTAGGTTCAAGAGAAAATGAGAGGGGATAGCAAGTATAAACAACTCGTTGGGGGAGTTTTCTTACAAAGGGGAACAGAGAAGTGGAGTGTCAGCCTGAGAGAGAGATGAGAAAAAGAATTTTTTTCTTCTTCTTCTTCTTCTTTTTTTTTTTTTTGAGATGGTGTCTTGCTCTGTTGCCCAGGCTGGAGTGCAGTGGCGTGATCTCAGCTCACTGCAACCTCTGCCTCCCGGGTTCAAGTGATTCTCCTGCCTCAGCCTTCCCAGTAGCTGGGATTACAGGCACCCCCCACCCCCACCACGCCCGGCTAATTTCTATATTTTTAGTAGAGACAGAGTTTCACCATGTTGGCCAGGTTGGTCTTGAACTGCTGGCCTCAAGCAATCTGCCTGCCTTGGCCTCCCAAAGTGCTGGGATTACAGGCGTGAGCCACTATAATCCCATTTTTTTTTTTTCTTTTTTAAGGTGTGAGGTAGTAGAATATATTTACATTTTATTCATAGAACCCAAAATCTTTCATTCTTCATTGTGTTTATAACTTTTCTGTCTTATTTTTTATTTGTTTAGCTGTGAAGACAAGTAAATCTACATTGGGTCAAACAGATTTTCCAGGTAAGCAAGAAATTTTATTTATAAATGTTCTTCAACATTTCAGAACAGTGTATGTTTTGCAGATTATTTTGTTTTGCCACATGATGTTTTATTGATTATGCATAAAACAGAATGTCATTTTTCACTTTTAATTGACAGTTGCTAATCTATAAATTTTTTTTATATGAAATAGCTCATAGTCGGAAGCCGGCACCCTCAAATGAGCCCGAATATCTATGTAAATGGATGGGACTCCCCTATTCAGAGTGTAGCTGGGAAGATGAAGCCCTCATTGGAAAGAAATTCCAGAATTGCATTGACAGCTTCCACAGTAGGAACAACTCAAAAACCATCCCAACAAGAGAATGCAAGGTATGGTGATGGTTGGCTTTTGTTTTTTCAGGGAGAAGATATACTGATAAAGAGGATTGGACACATATGTGCTGAGAAAATATTACAAAATGAAATGATGATTGCCATTTTGAAGTGAAAGAAGGTGATTTAAATATGACATTAAAGCAAAAGGAGAGAATGAATTATTTCATGGCTTTGCTGACTTGTTTAATCTTGCAATTTACATAATTAGAAATAGAGATATTTGAGAGAATACTTGAAAGGATTTAGGCACTTTTATTTTATTTTATTTTATTATTTTATTTTGAGACAGAGTTTCGCTGTGTCGCCCAGGCTGGAGTGCACTGGCACTATCTTGGCTAACTGCAACCTCTGCCTCCTGGGTTTAAGTGATTCTCCTGCCTCAGCCTCCTGAGCAGCTGGGATTACAGGCACGCACCACCACTTCCAGCTAATTTTTTGTATTTTTAGCAGAGATGGGGTTTCACCATGTTGGTCAGGCTGGTCTCAAACTCCTGACCTCAAATGATCCACCCACCTTGGCCTCCCAAAGTGCTGGGATTACAGGCGTGAGCCACCATGCCCAGTTGCATTTAGGCACTTTAAAAGAGAAGTGAAGCCAGTTGCAGTGGCTCACACCTGTGGTTCCAGCTACTTGGGAGGCTGAGGCGGCAGGATTGCTTGAGCACAGGAGTTTGAGGCCAACCTGGGGAAGATTGTGATACCCGTTCTCTAAAAAAAAAAAAAAATAGAGAGCGGGAAGTGATAGAAAAGGCGAGTGTCTTTGAATTCTAAGTTAGAAATTAAATATATAGGCTTATTTGCTAGATTGGCTGAATAAATCCTTTCCTTGGAATTTATTCCATCAGGAAACTGATGTGCTTGGGTCCTCAGTAATGAAATATCAGACAAGTGATACGTCTCTGAGAAGTTGACATTCATGTTAATGGCACTAGAATTCTATCTGTGAAAACCAGTATTTAATTGCCAAAGAGTGTGATAGGGAAAATGTGGTCAGAGAAGCACCAATGTAGAAGTCTCTGAGCTCCAGTGGTCATTGAATGGGTTTTAAGAGGAAGTTGTGGTTGTTGAACTGCATCTGGCCCTTGTATAATGGATTGGTGCTGCTGGCTATACAGACAAGAGGGGGCCCAGGGTATTGCCCTCCTGTGAAAGGTATCAAGAGAAAGATTCTTATAGTTCAATAGGAGAACTACTAGACCCCAGGGGTGAGGAGAAGAGGAATGATGTTGACAAGTACATCAAGGTCAAAGTGTGTGTGTCTTGGCTACCTCGAAGGGTATTTTGACTTTATCTCCTAGGTATTCGTACAGCTGAGTACAGTGGCATTATGAAATAGTTTTATTTAGAAAGCTTCATGTAATAGCAGTATATAGGAGACTCTGGAGTAAGTAATTATTAAAGCCAGAAGGTCCAGCCAGTAAGATGTCATTGAAGTCCACGAATGAAGAAGTAGTGTGAGGACAAGGGAAGTAACAGTGGCGTGGAAGGAGTGGATGGGAGAACAGTTATGGGGTAGGTTTGGTAGGAGTGGATGGATGGCTGGGTTTTGGAGTTGAGAGTAAGCAGTCGGATTCCATTCACTGCCAGCCGCCCTCATAGAGAACTGAACACATCAATAACCTTATCAAATATTCTTATTAGAATGATACTTCTCATAATGTGTGCTATAGAGCACTAATCTTCAGAGAAAAGTCCCCTGAAAAAAGACTTTTTGGCCATGTAACTTTGAGATACATCCCTGAATGAATTTCTCCTGTAAATTCACGCTATGGACACACATTTCAGACTTTGAAAAGTCATGAGTAAAGAAATTGTATAACTTTTTGATCGGTTGTTTCCTAAACTGATTTGGCCACAGAATCCACATTTTATGCAAACCATAGAGACTGACCTCACTAGAATGCTATCCTTTAAGCTTCTGGGGGTGAAAACAACCTTCCCTTCAGAAGCTTGTTTCTGAAGGGAAAACCAAATTCACGCAATTAAAGGGTTTAAGGTAGATGGGCGGCATTTCTGAATTTACAAATCCTGTTATGGTGAAGATCAACTGTATTTAGCATATGACAGCTGGAGGCAATGTTTTGTACTCTTTAGAATCAGATAACAGAAAGATAGTTGTTTCTGAAAAATAGGAGACTCTGACTGCCATATAATAGACAAGACCTAAAGTGCTATTTAATGATGTTCATAGATTTATTTCAGGAAAGGGGCAAGTTAACTAAAAATATTTTATTTGAGGATGAACTAACTCTGGCTTATGGAATATTAACCATGAAGAAAGGGGTGATGGAGTGAGGTGGTGATTCACACACATGAAATTTAAGTTTTTGGCCAGGCGCGGTGGCTCACGCCTGTAATCCCAGCACTCTGGGAGGCCGAGGTGGGCAGATCACGAGGTCAGGAGATCGAGACCATCCTGGCTAGCATGGTGAAACCCCATCTCTACTAAAAATACAAAAATAGCCAGGCGTGGGTGGTGGCGGGCGCCTGTATGTAGTCCCAGCTACTTGGGAGGCTGAGGCAGGAGAATGGCGTGAACCCGGGAGGCAGAGCTTGCAGTGAGCCGAGATTGGGCCACTGCACTCCAGCCTGGGTGACAGAGCAAGACTCCGTCTCAAAAAAAGAAATTTGAGTTTTTATGCTTTGATGCCGAATATGTGAATTGTGGCTAGCGTTTTAACATAGTAGCAGTAAGAACATTTTCTCAGACTTGGGCTTTTGTTTTTCAGGCCCTGAAGCAGAGACCACGATTTGTAGCTTTAAAGAAACAACCTGCATATTTAGGAGGGGAGAATCTGGAACTTCGAGATTATCAGCTAGAAGGTCTAAACTGGCTAGCTCATTCCTGGTGCAAGTAGGTAGAAAAATATGAGTGCAATTTTCCTTACTGTTTCTGGCTTCTTTATTGTTAGATGTCAAGAATTTTTTTTTTCTTTTTTCACACCCTTATTGTATCTCAACCAAGAAATCTTTATGCTGCATATTACAGAAATAAAAGATGATTGAGAGAAATGCTTCCTGGGAGTTTTTATGTATGTGTAATACCATTTTATTCTGATCTAAAGAATACTTTATTTCATTATTTGGTGGGTAATTTGTCATAGCCAGAAACCTGTATCATCATATGTTACTCATGAGTGTATATAGCAAGTTAAGTCACTCAAATCTTTAATGTGGAAGGAGTTACTCAGAAGAAAGAAGAAGATGTCTTTTTCACATGTATTTTCTTTCTAGGCCAGGGAAGCCTTTAAATTAATTTCCTACAGTAGTGCTGTAGAGAGTGTGATTCCCCTCCCTTCACTCCACTCCCTACCTATATAGTCTGTAGGATTATCCTGTTCAGAGGAAGGTTGAACCTGTGAAAGTATCCTTTTTATAAGACCACGTTAATCTTGGGGGGGTGAAAAAAAGATGAGACAGTGATAGCACTGGAGGTTTAAAGGTACTTTTGGGAAGTACTTACAAATTTCCTTCACCAATTTCAAGTAGTTCCTAATTACTAAGTGCTAGGTGTTAGAAACAAATGCTTGTTCCTCGGTGCTGAAAAGAACTAGTGCTCAAGGAATTTTCTCAGCAAGGCAATTTTACTTTCTGCAGAAAGGGTGCTTCTTGGAAGCCTAATTGTCATGAGAGCACACCGAACAAAGAAAAGCAGAGGTTTTTATCCCTGACTCATTGGGTTCTTACTGCTGCGTCCTGTCTCCATTGGCTGGAGCTGGACCGCACAATCTAGACTGATTCCGATTGGCTAAAAGCTTAAAACTTTCCTAAATAGATAAACGCGCAGTGGAAAACAAAGGAAGGGGGTTGTTTACAGGAAATTAGGAGAATAATAACATTTCCAAATAAGGAAGGGGTGTAGGCTGTAAGCTGGGAAATGCCTGGGCACGTTCGGACATGTCTGAGCAGGTTATAGTCCAGAACAAATAACCTGGTTAAAGTACAAGGACATAGAATGTACTTATTCCCTTACTATATTTAACAGCCACATAGGGCTTAACAAAGAGTTATTAGCAAAAAGCAAGGGAGCTTGAAGGAAGTTAATTTCTAAAAGAAACTGTTATTTCTAACACTTGTTATTTATTCTTTAACAAAAAGGGAAACTTTGAAGAGGAACTTTTTACTTTTCACATGCGGATCCATTAGTCCTCGAGAATTTAACAGTGAACCTATATAGATGTATTTTGCTGTCCTTACAGAACATGCAGTGTAAGAAGTACCTTTAATGCCAACCTACACACTTCTTTCCCGAAGTACCCAATTAAGTGCAAATGCTTAATGTCTTTAGTGTTTTATAGTAAAGCAAAAAATCCTTATTTAGAATTAGAAGTACAGGCCTGTGCAACATGGCAAAACCCCATCTTTACCAAAAAATACAAAAATTAGCTGGACATGGTGGCATGCTTATGTAGTCTCAGCTACTTGGGGGCTGAGGTGGGAGGATCGCTTGAGTCCAGGAGGCCAAGGTTGCAGTGAGCCATTTTCGCACCATTGCACTCCAGCCTGGGTGACAAAGTGAAACTTCACCTTAAAAAAAAAAAAAAGGACAGCTTAAAAAATATTTTTCCCCTCATTGCTGAAAGGAAGCTTTCTAGTTATAGAGATGCATTTACAGTGACTTTTTCCCAAGTGAACCATCTCCTACTTTTTATCTGATAAAATCTAGTACAATATTTAATACTCAGTTGTGAAAATTAGGTGTCTTGAGAAGATTGAGAATGTGGGTTTGATATAATGATTCTGAATTGCTTAAAAATGATTTTTCCTTTTAGAGGTTAGTGGGACCTAATTCATCTAAATGACAGTTAATAAAAGTTAGATGAACTTTAATTGTGATCTAATCCTCTCATTTTATAATTGAAGACTCTTAGGAACAAAGGTGCCGTGTACCCATCCAGAGTCACATGGTGTTTTGTGTACAGTCCTTGGCCAGCATTTTTTAGACTTTTTATTTTTTAGTTTTTTTGAGACTGAGTTTTGCTCTGTTGCCCAGGCTGGAGCGCAGTGGCATGATCTTGGCTCACTGCAACCTCCGATTCCCAGGTTCACGTGATTCTCCTGCCTCAGGCTCTTGAGTAGCTGGGATTACACGCACGCACCACCATGCCTGGCTAATTTTTGTATTTTTAGTAGAGACGGGGTTTCACCATGTTGGCCAAGCTGGTCTTGAACTCCTGACCTCAAGTGATCTGCCTGCCTTGGCCTCCCAAAGTGCTGGGATTACAGCCATGAGCCACCGTGCCTGGCCAGCATTTTTTTACTTTAAACCAAAGGAATAAAAATCAGTTGAAAAGGGCTCAAGCACCTGTTAAGCCCTGGTCACAGGAATGTTACTACATTACATAATGTGCTATTTTGGTCTGGTTCCAGAAAAACAGGTGAATCAATTCAAACCTACTGTAGTCTGTATATGTAGACAATGGCATTTTCTAGGGGCAGGAAATACTGGAGAAACTTAACTGTGCTTCCTCCTGAATAGTATTGAAAAGTGAGGGAAATAAGAAGGAAATTACTCAAAGGAATATACTACATCGTTTAAACTGTGTAGAAAATTAGGTGTACCTGAGATGTATAGGGGTATGGCTTCATCATTCTCCCTTTCCCAAGTGTGATCTTCTTTGTTTCTGTATTTTACCCTTTAAACTAGCTAGTTTGTAGAACACAGAAGGTATTTTTAGAAATTATGTCTTTTTGGTGAATTAAATGTCTTGTTTTTTGAATCAGTTAGGTTGCCTTTAACTCATAAATTACTTTTAGTTCTTTCTGATTTGCTGATTAAGCACATATTATATATACGTGCAAACTTTCAGTGTCCTTATTTTCCAGAACCTTTTTATAATGTTTGCAATCTGATGTCTTACATGTAATCCTAATTTCCTGCCAAAATGACTGTATTCTGTTTCCCAAATATATTTTCCTAACTCTGGCTGTTTCTTCAATTTTAAATGTTTTTCTTAGATATTCTTTTTCCATTAATATCCTGTTGAAATCTAGCCCATTTTGTAGAGTAGTGTTTCTCAAACTGTGGTTTTAAGGTAGTGCTTCCCAACCTTTTTGGCACTAGGGACTGGTTTCGTGGAAGACAATTTTTCCACAGGCTGGGGAGGAGGGAGGGGGATGGTTTCTGGATGATTCAAGCACATTACATTTATTGTGCACTTTATTTCTATTATTATTACATTATACTATATAATGTAGAATCAGTGGGAGCCCTGAGTTTGTTTTTCTGCAACTGGACGGTCCCATCTGGGGGTGATGGGAGACAGCAACAGATCACCAGGCATTAGGTTCTCATAAGGAGTGTGCAACGTAGATCCCTCACATGTGTAGTTCATAGTGGGGTTCATGCTCCTATGAGAATCTAATGCCGTTGCTGATCTGACAGGAGGCGGAGCTCAGGCACTAATGCCAGCAATGGGGAGCGGCTGAAAATACATATGAAGCTTCCCTCCCTCACCCGCTGCTCACCTTCTGCTGTGCAGCTGGGTTCCCGAGTGGGGAATCCTGGTCTGGTCTAAGGAATACCTGAGTCAGAATCTCCAAAGGTGTTTGTCAGCCCTTTTCCATATATTGTTTAGTATATCTAGGGTGGGGTCCACAAGTATGATCTGTAGCCTACCCCTGCTTTAGACCAAAGTGTATTTAAAACAAGCCCCATGCACCTATACATGTAGGTCTAGGAAATAGTGTGGGTGGCATTAAACAACCCAGTGGCCTGCAGTGGAATGGGGTGGGCCAGCCACAGGATTCACCAGCGGTGCTGATAGCTTTCTCTATTGATGGAGTCTAAGGTTACATGCTTGTCTTCACTTTTTACAAAGCCTGTCTTCTCTGTGATAAAAGATAGCCTATGGAAGGTGATGTGAAAAGCCTAAAGGTAAAGAGTCTGACAAGGCTGTCATAGTAATCCAAGTCTAGGTAGGCCACTTGTTATTCTGCTTTTTATGGTTTCTACTTTCTTCCTTATGTTGAAAGCTGAAGTAATTGCAGATGAGAAGAAATACATTTGAGGCTTATGAATGACACCTTGCTTGGCTGTTATTGTGAAGCATTGGTGTCGTTGCTGTTTATGCACATTCTGTGTTTTGGTGAACTAATGATTTTTTTGTTTTTATTTATTTTTTCTTTCTGCAGAAATAATAGTGTAATCCTTGCTGATGAAATGGGCCTAGGAAAGACCATCCAGACCATATCATTCCTCTCCTACCTGTTCCACCAACACCAGCTGTATGGCCCCTTTCTTATAGTCGTCCCTTTATCCACCCTCACCTCATGGCAGAGAGAGTTTGAAATCTGGGCACCAGAGATTAACGTAGTGGTTTACATAGGTGACCTGATGAGCAGAAATACGGTGTGTAAACAAAAAGAGCTGGGTTAGAATCTGTGTTATAAATGTAATTTAGAAATTCACTTAAAGCCTTCAGTAGATCATCAGTAAAATTTGTGGTTATTATTCTGATACTGTGCTGTGTTCTCAATATTAGGAGGTTTATCTATCACAAAAGTGCAACTCAGATGTTCTTTAACAAATATGCTTACTAGTTAAAAAGCAACAGCAGTATGTGAGTGGGAATCTCTTTTAGCTGGGTTGCAATATTAAATTTTTCTTCTCTCTGCCCTTTTTACTTCTAAGATTGCTTTATATGAGATAATATGGAGTTAATACTTTGTGTAATATTAATATTATTTTTGCTTTCTCAATAGACATATTACTGAAAATAATCATTCTTCGAATTTCTTAATTTCTTAAACAGTGAGGTTGCATAACTTATAAAAAAGGAATAAAAGTAAAGGAAAACAAGCTATTTTAGGACTGTAGAAATAAGAATTATCCTAAACTGTTACCAAACTTTATTTGGGCATCATGAATTTAGAACACAGTGACTTAAGTTTATCTTTGTTTAGCAGATCTTTTCTTTATAGTAACTTTTTTTAAAGCACCTACTGTGTGCTAGATGTTGCGCTGGGTGCTTTACGTATAATACCTGTAATCTTCATGATAGTCTTCAAAGCTGATGGCATTCTTTCCTGCTACTGATGAAGAATTGACTCAGAGAGTCTTAACACGCGACCCTAGCGAGCAAGAATGTGGCAGAGCTCAGATTCGGACACAGGTGTTTCTATCTAGTCTAGAGCTTTGCTCTTTCATCACTGTATATAAACTATTTCTGGGAAATTGCTTGTAATAAGAGCAAGCCATTAGCAATGTTTAAATATTTGAGTTGCATGTTGTAACCATATATTTTCATACAAATTCAAATTTATTTTTGGTAAATACTTTCATTAAAATTGTGTAACTTAAACACTGGCTGATTTCATTGGCCTAATTTTGAGTTTCTAAGAATATAGTTTTAGCTTTGTTAAATCATTAGTTAACCGTTAAAGACGAAAAAAGAGAAATTTATAGGTTTACAAAATAGCGTAAAGCACTACATTCCAAAAATGATTGCAAACAAAGAAAATGAACTCTAAAAAATTGTAGTCAGAGAAGTTTTCCTTGCTATCTCCAGTTCTCCTTTTCTTTGTTCTTTTTACCCCCACTTGGGGGCGATCACCTGCAGGCACTTACTGTCTTGTTCTCCAGTTCCTAACTTGACAGCCAAACTGCAAGAGCGTTGTCATGAGTCTTCGTGCTTGCTGAGTGTCCAGTTATACTTCAGTATGAATGTACTCATCTTTGTGTTCTTTTACATTGACGTTATTATACGTATTGCATTATATTTTCATCTTACAAGCCTCCCTTTTTGTTGGGGGACATATCTCTTTGGTCTATGGTTGATGAAGTTCCAAAGGTTGGAATTTGTTTTACTTGTTAATATATGTATTTTCCTATTCAAAAAGTAAATAAATTGCATTTTTAAAAGAAATTTCTAAGGATCTGGGAGATCCCTTGTTGAGTTCCAATCACCAGGGTTCAGTAGCTGATGAAGTGCATTTTCTTCAGTAGATGTATTTCTGGGGGCCAGTTTCTTCTGATTCTGGCAATAAAGCTTTTGCTGTTCGGTGGTCAGTGTTTTAATTCTAACTCTTACTGCTTTATAGTTTGGTTGCTTAGGTCATTTTAGAATGTGAGATATTCATTGAATTCTAATCAGATTTATTTTTTATTTGGCATGTTTCTATTACATCAATCACAAAACTTATGTGATATAGAAAGGTAGAAGTAGAAATTATGTCTTAATTATGTTTTTTTCTTATAGATACGGGAATATGAATGGATTCATTCCCAAACCAAAAGATTGAAGTTCAACGCACTTATAACAACATATGAGATCCTCTTGAAAGATAAGGTGTGTAATTAATATCTAAAAGGCTAAATCTTTTCCAGTGCGACTTGTCCAGATGGTAGGGTCTGTTACTGTTCTGTGGAGCATGTTAGAAATAAATACTTGAAAGTTAAAAATAAAAAACAAATGGTAGGGTCTGTACCTCCTACTTGCCATGTTACTTTTCTTCTCTTATTTCAAAAAGCAAGCAAATGAACAACCAGAAAAATTACTTTTCAAAGGATATTAACGTTATAAATAGAAAACAGAACCCTATAGATGAGGGGACCTTAGGTCACCAAGTCCAGTTGAATTAAACAGAATGAAAGGGTATTGAATAGGTCAGTAACTTACCTGAGATTATTGTCAGTCATTGGATGCCATCTCAGGTATTTCCCTTGAATGTCATCTTAGGCATTTCCTATTGTATCATTGTTAAGGCATTTCTCCAGAAAAGATGATGTGAATGGTCTTTGTGAGGAGGACAAAAATAAGAAGCTCTTTAAATACCGCCTTTCTGCTAAGAAATATATGTGGTAGGTAGATCCCATTGGTATTAAGTGCAAACAAGTTGAGTTTGGTGGCTCTTGGTGTTTGTGTGCTTCAGGGTTGGGGTGGAGAATAGGCAAGAGAAGGACCATAATTAAGGGGAGAATACAGAATCATATGGTTTTTTTGTTTTATTTTTGCCCAGCATAGCAATTTTTGTGTTCTTGCTGTGGGGCATGCAGTAATAGCTGGTATAAGAGGCCCACCTATACCTTTTAGATGATGATACTCTCTTTTGAATAGCTACCAATCTGGCAACTAACAGAATAAACAGAAGAGGCCTAATATATATTGTCAGTGAAGAATAAATGTGTCAATTTATACCTTTGTAATGGTATTTATACAGAGATAATTAACACTTGAAAGCACTTGTGGGTTCCCTTCTGACCTGG